>NT_187678.1:0-166540 GCF_000001405.40 Homo sapiens
GAATTCTTCCCTGAGACTTTGTCTCTCTGAGTATCATCTTGCCAACTATCTAGGAGCACTGAGGTTGAAAAAAAGGGTGGGAGCGGTGGCTCACACCTTTAATCCCAGTACTTTGAGAGTCTGAAGCAGGAGGATCGCTTGAGGCCGGGAGTTCGACACCAGCCTAGGCAACATAGCAAGATTCCACCTCTACAGAAATAAAAAAATTACCCAGGCATGGTTGTGTGTGCCTGTAGTCCCAGCTACTCAGAAGGCCAATTACACCGCTGAACTTCAGCCTGGGTGACAGAAGACCCTGTCTCTCTTTCTCTCTCTCTCTTTCTTTCTCTCTCTCTCTCTTTCTTCTCTCTCTCTCTCTCTCTATATATATATGTTTAAAAAGAAAAAAGAAAGAAGTTTGAGAACAGCTAGGGAACTAATGAAAACCCAAAAGAGTCAGTTTCTAAGAGAAAAAAAAAGGCAAGTTTTCTTGGTTTCTTCTTGGTTCAGAGACTCAGAGGCTAAGGTAATATTCACGAAGATGGTATGTGGCTAGTGCAGGTGCTGTGAAATATTTTAAACAAAAAAAGCCAATATTTAAACATTCTGCCTGGGAAATATTTTTCTTTATTTATTTAATATCTATTTTTATTATTATTATTATTATTTTTATTTTTTAAGACACAGGGTCTCGCTATCTTGCCCAGGCTGGTCTCAAACTCCTGGCCTCGAGTGATCCTCCCACCTTGGCCTCCCAAAATGCTGGGATTACAGACATGAGCCACCATGCCTGGCCTCTGCCTGGGAAATAATTTTTTTTTAAAAAGTGGTTATGGTCAATAATATTAGCTTCTTGGTAGTCTGTGACCAGGGCAAGAGTATATGCATTTACCCCTTGGGTTTTTTACCAGATTGGCACAGATGTTAACAACGAAAAAGAAAAGTAGAAATTTAATTTATTTTTAAGAAAGATAATGCTATAATTCAAGTTGAGAGAGTTAACCCGGCTTATAGCAGGGGTACTGTTTGCCTCTTCCCATGGAGTTTAACACAGTTAATTCACCATTCTAGTCTAACCTCACCTTCCTCCTCACAAGGAAGACAGGCGGGAGCTGGAGAAGACCATTGGCTATATTCCTGCAACTGTGCTTTTTCTAGGCGATTTGAAGCAGTGCTTATCAGGGGCCTTCCTCTGTGGGAATCCTGCACCCCCATCTCTCTCTCCTTTTTTATTTTATTTATTTATTTTTTTTTTGAGACAGAATCTTGCTCTGTCGCCCAGGCTGCAGTGAAGTGGCATGATGTCTGCTCACTGCAACCTCCACCTCCTGGGTTCAAGCAATTCTCCTGCCTCAGCCTTTTGAGTAACTGGGATTACAGGCACCCACCACCACGCCCAGCTATTTCTGTATTTTTTTTTCTAGTAGAGACGGGGTTTTGCCATATTGCCCAGGCTGGTCTCGCACTCCTGACCTCAAGTGATCCACCCATCTCAGCCTCCCAAAGTGCTGGGATTGCAGGTGGGGCTACCATGCCCGGCCCCATCTCTTATTATTTTTTTATCCCCCAAATATGTACAGTTGTGATATATTAATTTTTCATTTTTTCTTTTTATTTCTTTTCATTTTTACTTTAAGTTTCAGGATACATGTGCAGAACGTGCAGGTTTGTTACACAGGTATATATGTGCCATGGTGGTTTACTGCACCTATCAACCCATCACCTGCATGTATTAGCTATTTATCCTGACGCTCTTCCTCCCCTTGTCCCGTCCCTGACAGGCGCCAGTGTGTGTTGTTCCCCTCTCTGTGTCCATGTGTTCTCATTGTTCAACTCCAACTTATGAGTGAAAACATGCAGTGTTTGGTTTTCTGTTCCCCTGTTAGTTTGTTGAGGATGATGGCTTTCAGCTTCATCCATGTACCTGCAAAGGACGTGATCCCATTCCTTTTTCATGGCTGCATAGTATTCCGTGCTGCATATGTACCACATTTTCTTTATCCAGTCTATCACTGATGGACATTTGGGTTGGTTTCATGTCTTTACTATTGTAAATAGTGCTGCAGTAAACATACGTGTGCATGTATCTTTATAACAGAATGATTTATATTCCTTTGGGCATATACCCAGTAATGGGATTGCTGGGTCAAATGGTATTTCTGGTTCTAGATCCTTGAGGAATCGCCACACTGTCTTCCACAATGGTTGAACTGATTTACACTCCCACCAACAGTGTAAAAGCGTTCCTATTTCACCACAGCCTTGCCAGCATCTGCTGTTTCTTGACTTTTTAATAATTGCCATTCTGAGTGGTGTGAGATGATATCCCTTTGTAGTTTTGATTTGCATTTCTCTAATGATCCATGATGATGAGCCTTTTTTCATATGTTTGTTGGTGGCATAAATGTCTTCTTTTGATAAGTGTCTGTTCATATCCTTTGCCTGCTTTTTGATGGGGTTGTTTATTTTTTTCTTGTAAATTTAAGTTCCTTGTAAATTCTGGATATTAGACCTCTGTCAGATGGTTAGATTGCAAAAATTTTCTCATTTTGTAGGTTGCCTGTTTGCTCTGATGATAGTTTCTTTTGCTGTGCAGAGCTCTTTAGTTTAATTAGATCCCATTTGTCAATTTTAGCTTTTGTTGCAAGTGCTTTTGGAGATTTCATCATAAAATCTTTGCCTATGTCTATGTCCTGAATGGTATTGCCTAGGTTTTCTTCTAGGGTTTTCATGGTTTGGGGTTTTACATGTAAGTCTTTAACCTGCCTTGAGTTAATTTTTGTATAAGGTGTAAGGAAGGGGTCCAGTTTCAGTTTTCTGCATATGGCTAACCAGTTTTCCCAGCACCATTTATTGAATAGAGAATCCTTTCCCCATTGCCTGCTTTTGTCAGGTTTGTCAAAGATCAGATGGTTGTAGATGTGTGGTCTTATTTCCAAGGTATCTATTCTGTTCCATTGGTTTATATGTCAGTTTTGGTACCAGTACCATGCTGTTTTGGTTACTGTAGCCTTGTAGTATAGTTTGAAGTCAGGTAGCCTCCCACTTTGTTCTTTTTGCTTAGGATTGTCTTGGCTATTTGGGTTCTTTTTTGATTCCATATGAATTTTAAAGTAGTTTGTTCTCATTCTGTGAAGAATGGTAGTTTTCACATCCTTTGTTAGCTGTATTCCTAGGTATTTTATTCTATTTGTAGCAATTGTGAATAGGAGTTCATTCATGATTTAGCTCTCTGCTTGCCTATTTTGGTTCACTCCAGGAACCACAGAGGACACATTAATAACTGGAAGTAAAACTGCTGCCCCAGTCACCTCAACAGGCTCAACAACAGCGACACTAGAGGGACAATCAACTGCAGCTTCTTCAAGGACCTCTAATCAGGACATATCAGCTTCATCTCAGAACCACCAGACTAAGAGCACGGAGACCACCAGCAAAGCTCAAACCGACACCCTCACGCAGATGATGACATCAACTCTTTTTTCTTCCCCAAGTGTACACAATGTGATGGAGACAGCTCCTCCAGATGAAATGACCACATCATTTCCCTCCAGTGTCACCAACACACTCATGATGACATCAAAGACTATAACAATGACAACCTCCACAGACTCCACTCTTGGAAACACAGAAGAGACATCAACAGCAGGAACTGAAAGTTCTACCCCAGTGACCTCAGCAGTCTCAATAACAGCTGGACAGGAAGGACAATCACGAACAACTTCCTGGAGGACCTCTATCCAAGACACATCAGCTTCTTCTCAGAACCACTGGACTCGGAGCACGCAGACCACCAGGGAATCTCAAACCAGCACCCTAACACACAGAACCACTTCAACTCCTTCTTTCTCTCCAAGTGTACACAATGTGACAGGGACTGTTTCTCAGAAGACATCTCCTTCAGGTGAAACAGCTACCTCATCCCTCTGTAGTGTCACAAACACATCCATGATGACATCAGAGAAGATAACAGTGACAACCTCCACAGGCTCCACTCTTGGAAACCCAGGGGAGACATCATCAGTACCTGTTACTGGAAGTCTTATGCCAGTCACCTCAGCAGCCTTAGTAACATTTGATCCAGAAGGACAATCACCAGCAACTTTCTCAAGGACTTCTACTCAGGACACAACAGCTTTTTCTAAGAACCACCAGACTCAGAGCGTGGAGACCACCAGAGTATCTCAAATCAACACCCTCAACACCCTCACACCGGTTACAACATCAACTGTTTTATCCTCACCAAGTGGATTCAACCCAAGTGGAACAGTTTCTCAGGAGACATTCCCTTCTGGTGAAACAACCACCTCATCCCCTTCCAGTGTCAGCAATACATTCCTGGTAACATCAAAGGTGTTCAGAATGCCAACCTCCAGAGACTCTACTCTTGGAAACACAGAGGAGACATCACTATCTGTAAGTGGAACCATTTCTGCAATCACTTCCAAAGTTTCAACCATATGGTGGTCAGACACTCTGTCAACAGCACTCTCCCCCAGTTCTCTACCTCCAAAAATATCCACAGCTTTCCACACCCAGCAGAGTGAAGGTGCAGAGACCACAGGACGGCCTCATGAGAGGAGCTCATTCTCTCCAGGTGTGTCTCAAGAAATATTTACTCTACATGAAACAACAACATGGCCTTCCTCATTCTCCAGCAAAGGCCACACAACTTGGTCACAAACAGAACTGCCCTCAACATCAACAGGTGCTGCCACTAGGCTTGTCACAGGAAATCCATCTACAGGGACAGCTGGCACTATTCCAAGGGTCCCCTCTAAGGTCTCAGCAATAGGGGAACCAGGAGAGCCCACCACATACTCCTCCCACAGCACAACTCTCCCAAAAACAACAGGGGCAGGCGCCCAGACACAATGGACACAAGAAACGGGGACCACTGGAGAGGCTCTTCTCAGCAGCCCAAGCTACAGTGTGACTCAGATGATAAAAACGGCCACATCCCCATCTTCTTCACCTATGCTGGATAGACACACATCCCAACAAATTACAACGGCACCATCAACAAATCATTCAACAATACATTCCACAAGCACCTCTCCTCAGGAATCACCAGCTGTTTCCCAAAGGGGTCACACTCAAGCCCCGCAGACCACACAAGAATCACAAACCACGAGGTCCGTCTCCCCCATGACTGACACCAAGACAGTCACCACCCCAGGTTCTTCCTTCACAGCCAGTGGGCACTCGCCCTCAGAAATTGTTCCTCAGGACGCACCCACCATAAGTGCAGCAACAACCTTTGCCCCAGCTCCCACCGGGGATGGTCACACAACCCAGGCCCCGACCACAGCACTGCAGGCAGCACCCAGCAGCCATGATGCCACCCTGGGGCCCTCAGGAGGCACGTCACTTTCCAAAACAGGTGCCCTTACTCTGGCCAACTCTGTAGTGTCAACACCAGGGGGCCCAGAAGGACAATGGACATCAGCCTCTGCCAGCACCTCACCTGACACAGCAGCAGCCATGACCCATACCCACCAGGCTGAGAGCACAGAGGCCTCTGGACAAACACAGACCAGCGAACCGGCCTCCTCAGGGTCACGAACCACCTCAGCGGGCACAGCTACCCCTTCCTCATCCGGGGCGAGTGGCACAACACCTTCAGGAAGCGAAGGAATATCCACCTCAGGAGAGACGACAAGGTTTTCATCAAACCCCTCCAGGGACAGTCACACAACCCAGTCAACAACCGAATTGCTGTCCGCCTCAGCCAGTCATGGTGCCATCCCAGTAAGCACAGGAATGGCGTCTTCGATCGTCCCCGGCACCTTTCATCCCACCCTCTCTGAGGCCTCCACTGCAGGGAGACCGACAGGACAGTCAAGCCCAACTTCTCCCAGTGCCTCTCCTCAGGAGACAGCCGCCATTTCCCGGATGGCCCAGACTCAGAGGACAAGAACCAGCAGAGGGTCTGACACTATCAGCCTGGCGTCCCAGGCAACCGACACCTTCTCAACAGTCCCACCCACACCTCCATCGATCACATCCACTGGGCTTACATCTCCACAAACCGAGACCCACACTCTGTCACCTTCAGGGTCTGGTAAAACCTTCACCACGGCCCTCATCAGCAACGCCACCCCTCTTCCTGTCACCTACGCTTCCTCGGCATCCACAGGTCACACCACCCCTCTTCATGTCACCGATGCTTCCTCAGTATCCACAGGTCACGCCACCCCTCTTCCTGTCACCAGCCCTTCCTCAGTATCCACAGGTCACACCACCCCTCTTCCTGTCACCGACACTTCCTCAGAATCCACAGGTCACGTCACCCCTCTTCCTGTCACCAGCTTTTCCTCAGCATCCACAGGTGACAGCACCCCTCTTCCTGTCACTGACACTTCCTCAGCATCCACAGGTCACGTCACCCCTCTTCCTGTCACCAGCCTTTCCTCAGCATCCACAGGTGACACCACCCCTCTTCCTGTCACTGACACTTCCTCAGCATCCACAGGTCACGCCACCTCTCTTCCTGTCACCGACACTTCCTCAGTATCCACAGGTCACACCACCCCTCTTCCTGTCACCGACACTTCCTCAGCATCCACAGGTCACGCCACCTCTCTTCCTGTCACCGACACTTCCTCAGTATCCACAGGTCACACCACCCCTCTTCATGTCACTGATGCTTCCTCAGCATCCACAGGTCAGGCCACCCCTCTTCCTGTCACCAGCCTTTCCTCAGTATCCACAGGTGACACCACGCCTCTTCCTGTCACTAGCCCTTCCTCAGCATCCACAGGTCACGCCACCCCTCTTCTTGTCACCGACACTTCCTCAGCATCCACAGGACACGCCACCCCTCTTCCTGTCACCGACGCTTCCTCAGTGTCCACAGATCACGCCACCTCTCTTCCTGTAACCATCCCTTCCGCAGCATCCACAGGTCACACCACCCCTCTTCCTGTCACCGACACTTCCTCAGCATCCACAGGTCAGGCCACCTCTCTTCTTGTCACCGACACTTCCTCAGTATCCACAGGTGACACCACGCCTCTTCCTGTCACTAGCACTTCCTCAGCATCCACAGGTCACGTCACTCCTCTTCATGTCACCAGCCCTTCCTCAGCATCCACAGGTCACGCCACCCCTCTTCCTGTCACCAGCCTTTCCTCAGCATCCACAGGTGACACCATGCCTCTTCCTGTCACTAGCCCTTCCTCAGCATCCACAGGTGACACCACCCCTCTTCCTGTCACCGACGCTTCCTCAGTATCCACAGGTCACACCACCCCTCTTCATGTCACTGATGCTTCCTCAGCATCCACAGGTCAGGCCACCCCTCTTCCTGTCACCAGCCTTTCCTCAGTATCCACAGGTGACACCACGCCTCTTCCTGTCACTAGCCCTTCCTCAGCATCCACAGGTCACGCCACCCCTCTTCTTGTCACCGACACTTCCTCAGCATCCACAGGACACGCCACCCCTCTTCCTGTCACCGACGCTTCCTCAGTGTCCACAGATCACGCCACCTCTCTTCCTGTAACCATCCCTTCCGCAGCATCCACAGGTCACACCACCCCTCTTCCTGTCACCGACACTTCCTCAGCATCCACAGGTCAGGCCACCTCTCTTCTTGTCACCGACACTTCCTCAGTATCCACAGGTGACACCACGCCTCTTCCTGTCACTAGCACTTCCTCAGCATCCACAGGTCACGTCACTCCTCTTCATGTCACCAGCCCTTCCTCAGCATCCACAGGTCACGCCACCCCTCTTCCTGTCACCAGCCTTTCCTCAGCATCCACAGGTGACACCATGCCTCTTCCTGTCACTAGCCCTTCCTCAGCATCCACAGGTGACACCACCCCTCTTCCTGTCACCGACGCTTCCTCAGTATCCACAGGTCACACCACCCCTCTTCCTGTCACCAGCCCTTCCTCAGCATCTACAGGTCACACCACCCCTCTTCCTGTCACCGACACTTCCTCAGCATCCAAAGGTGACACCACCCCTCTTCCTGTCACCAGCCCTTCCTCAGCATCTACAGGTCACACCACCCCTCTTCCTGTCACCGACACTTCCTCAGCATCCACAGGTGACACCACCCCTCTTCCTGTCACCAATGCTTCCTCATTATCCACAGGTCACGCCACCCCTCTTCATGTCACCAGCCCTTCCTCAGCATCCACAGGTCACGCCACCCCTCTTCCTGTCACCAGCACTTCCTCAGCATCCACCGGTCACGCCACCCCTCTTCCTGTCACCGGCCTTTCCTCAGCTACCACAGATGACACCACCCGTCTTCCTGTCACCGACGTTTCCTCGGCATCCACAGGTCAGGCCACCCCTCTTCCTGTCACCAGCCTTTCCTCAGTATCCACAGGTGACACCACGCCTCTTCCTGTCACTAGCCCTTCCTCAGCATCCACAGGTCACGCCAGCCCTCTTCTTGTCACTGACGCTTCCTCAGCATCCACAGGTCAGGCCACCCCTCTTCCTGTCACCGACACTTCCTCAGTATCCACAGCTCACGCCACCCCACTTCCTGTCACCGGCCTTTCTTCAGCTTCCACAGATGACACCACCCGTCTTCCTGTCACCGACGTTTCCTCGGCATCCACAGGTCAGGCCATCCCTCTTCCTGTCACCAGCCCTTCCTCAGCATCCACAGGTGACACCACCCCTCTTCCTGTCACCGACGCTTCCTCAGCATCCACAGGTGACACCACCTCTCTTCCTGTCACCATCCCTTCCTCAGCATCTTCAGGTCACACCACCTCTCTTCCTGTCACCGACGCTTCCTCAGTGTCCACAGGTCACGCCACCTCTCTTCTTGTCACCGACGCTTCCTCAGTATCCACAGGTGACACCACCCCTCTTCCTGTCACCGACACTAACTCAGCATCCACAGGTGACACCACCCCTCTTCATGTCACCGACGCTTCCTCAGTATCCACAGGTCACGCCACCTCTCTTCCTGTCACCAGCCTTTCCTCAGCATCCACAGGTGACACCACGCCTCTTCCTGTCACTAGCCCTTCCTCAGCATCCTCAGGTCACACCACCCCTCTTCCTGTCACCGACGCTTCCTCAGTACCCACAGGTCACGCCACCTCTCTTCCTGTCACCGACGCTTCCTCAGTGTCCACAGGTCACGCCACCCCTCTTCCTGTCACCGACGCTTCCTCAGTGTCCACAGGTCATGCCACCCCTCTTCCGGTCACCGACACTTCCTCAGTATCTACAGGACAGGCCACCCCTCTTCCTGTCACCAGCCTTTCCTCAGCATCCACAGGTGACACCACCCCTCTTCCTGTCACCGACACTTCCTCAGCATCCACAGGTCACGCCCCCCATCTTCCTGTCACCGGCCTTTCCTCAGCTTCCACAGGTGACACCACCCGTCTTCCTGTCACCAACGTTTCCTCGGCATCCACAGGTCATGCCACCCCTCTTCCTGTCACCAGCACTTCCTCAGCATCCACAGGTGACACCACCCCTCTTCCTGGCACCGACACTTCCTCAGTATCCACAGGTCACACCACCCCTCTTCTTGTCACCGACGCTTCGTCAGTATCCACAGGTGACACCACCCGTCTTCCTGTCACCAGCCCTTCCTCAGCATCTACAGGTCACACCACCCCTCTTCATGTCACCGATGCTTCCTCAGTATCCACAGGTCACACCACCCCTCTTCCTGTCACCGACACTTCCTCAGCATCCACAGGTCAGGCCACCTCTCTTCTTGTCACCGACACTTCCTCAGTATCCACAGGTGACACCACGCCTCTTCCTGTCACTAGCACTTCCTCAGCATCCACAGGTCACGTCACTCCTCTTCATGTCACCAGCCCTTCCTCAGCATCCACAGGTCACGCCACCCCTCTTCCTGTCACCAGCCTTTCCTCAGCATCCACAGGTGACACCACCCCTCTTCCTGTCACCGACACTTCCTCAGTATCCACAGGTCACACCACCCCTCTTCCTGTCACCAGCCCTTCCTCAGCATCTACAGGTCACACCACCCCTCTTCCTGTCACCGACACTTCCTCAGCATCCAAAGGTGACACCACCCCTCTTCCTGTCACCAGCCCTTCCTCAGCATCTACAGGTCACACCACCCCTCTTCCTGTCACCGACACTTCCTCAGCATCCACAGGTGACACCACCCCTCTTCCTGTCACCAATGCTTCCTCATTATCCACAGGTCACGCCACCCCTCTTCATGTCACCAGCCCTTCCTCAGCATCCACAGGTCACGCCACCCCTCTTCCTGTCACCAGCACTTCCTCAGCATCCACCGGTCACGCCACCCCTCTTCCTGTCACCAGCACTTCCTCAGCATCCACCGGTCACGCCACCCCTCTTCCTGTCACCGACAATTCCTCAGTATCCACAGGTCATGCCACCCCTCTTCCTGTCACCGGCCTTTCCTCAGCTACCACAGATGACACCACCCGTCTTCCTGTCACCGACGTGTCCTCGGCATCCACAGGTCAGGCCACCCCTCTTCCTGTCACCAGCCTTTCCTCAGTATCCACAGGTGACACCACGCCTCTTCCTGTCACTAGCCCTTCCTCAGCATCCACAGGTCACGCCAGCCCTCTTCTTGTCACTGACGCTTCCTCAGCATCCACAGGTCAGGCCACCCCTCTTCCTGTCACCGACACTTCCTCAGTATCCACAGCTCACGCCACCCCACTTCCTGTCACCGGCCTTTCCTCAGCTTCCACAGATGACACCACCCGTCTTCCTGTCACCGACGTTTCCTCGGCATCCACAGGTCAGGCCATCCCTCTTCCTGTCACCAGCCCTTCCTCAGCATCCACAGGTGACACCACCCCTCTTCCTGTCACCGACGCTTCCTCAGCATCCACAGGTGACACCACCTCTCTTCCTGTCACCATCCCTTCCTCAGCATCTTCAGGTCACACCACCTCTCTTCCTGTCACCGACGCTTCCTCAGTGTCCACAGGTCACGCCACCTCTCTTCTTGTCACCGACGCTTCCTCAGTATCCACAGGTGACACCACCCCTCTTCCTGTCACCGACACTAACTCAGCATCCACAGGTGACACCACCCCTCTTCATGTCACCGACGCTTCCTCAGTATCCACAGGTCACGCCACCTCTCTTCCTGTCACCAGCCTTTCCTCAGCATCCACAGGTGACACCACGCCTCTTCCTGTCACTAGCCCTTCCTCAGCATCCTCAGGTCACACCACCTCTCTTCCTGTCACCGACGCTTCCTCAGTGTCCACAGGTCACGCCACCTCTCTTCCTGTCACCATCCCTTCCTCAGCATCCTCAGGTCACACCACCCCTCTTCCTGTCACCGACGCTTCCTCAGTACCCACAGGTCACGCCACCTCTCTTCCTGTCACCGACGCTTCCTCAGTGTCCACAGGTCACGCCACCCCTCTTCCTGTCACCGACGCTTCCTCAGTGTCCACAGGTCATGCCACCCCTCTTCCGGTCACCGACACTTCCTCAGTATCTACAGGACAGGCCACCCCTCTTCCTGTCACCAGCCTTTCCTCAGCATCATCCACTGGTGACACCACGCCGCTTCCTGTCACTGATACTTCCTCAGCATCCACAGGTCAGGACACCCCTCTTCCTGTCACCAGCCTTTTCTCAGTATCCACAGGTGACACCACGCCTCTTCCTGTCACTAGCCCTTCCTCAGCATCCACAGGTCACGCCACCCATCTTCTTGTCACCGACGCTTCCTCAGTATCCACAGGTCACGCCACCTCTCTTCTTGTCACCGACGCTTCCTCAGTATCCA
Organism: Homo sapiens; assembly: GCF_000001405.40. Lineage (NCBI taxonomy): Eukaryota > Metazoa > Chordata > Mammalia > Primates > Hominidae > Homo > Homo sapiens. The sequence continues at coordinate 11,735 of NT_187678.1, forward strand.
CAGGTCACGCCACCGCTCTTCATGTCACCGATGCTTCCTCATTATCCACAGGGGACACCACCCCTCTTCCTGTCACCAGCCCTTCCTCAGCATCCACAGGTGACACCACCCCTCTTCCTGTCACCGACACTTCCTCAGTATCCACAGGTCACGCCACCTCTCTTCCTGTCACTGACACTTCCTCAGCATCCACAGGTCACGCCACCTCTCTTCCTGTCACCGACACTTCCTCAGCATCCACAGGTCAGGCCACCCCTCTTCCTGTCACCAGCCCTTCCTCAGCATCCACAGGTCACGCCATCCCTCTTCTTGTCACCGACACTTCCTCAGCATCCACAGGACAGGCCACCCCTCTTCCTGTCACCAGCCTTTCCTCAGCATCCACAGGTGACACCACCCCTCTTCCTGTCACCGATGCTTCCTCAGTGTCCACAGGTCACGCCACCTCTCTTCCTGTCACCAGCCTTTCCTCAGTATCCACAGGTGACACCACCCCTCTTCCTGTCACTAGCCCTTCCTCAGCATCCACAGGTCACGCCACCCCTCTTCATGTCACCAGCCCTTCCTCAGCATCCACAGGTCACGCCACCCCTCTTCCTGTCACCAGCCTTTCCTCAGCATCCACAGGTGACACCACGCCTCTTCCTGTCACTAGCCCTTCCTCAGCATCCACAGGTCACGCCACCCCTCTTCATGTCACCGACGCTTCCTCAGTATCCACAGGTGACACCACCCCTCTTCCTGTCACCAGCCCTTCCTCAGCATCCTCAGGTCACACCACCCCTCTTCCTGTCACCGACGCTTCCTCAGCATCCACAGGTGACACCACCCCTCTTCCTGTCACCGACACTTCCTCAGCATCCACAGGTCACGCCACCCATCTTCCTGTCACCGGCCTTTCCTCAGCTTCCACAGGTGACACCACCCGTCTTCCTGTCACCGACGTTTCCTCGGCATCCACAGGTCATGCCACCCCTCTTCCTGTCACCAGCACTTCCTCAGCATCCACAGGTGACACCACCCCTCTTCCTGGCACCGACACTTCCTCAGTATCCACAGGTCACACCACCCCTCTTCTTGTCACCGACGCTTCGTCAGTATCCACAGGTGACACCACCCGTCTTCCTGTCACCAGCCCTTCCTCAGCATCTACAGGTCACACCACCCCTCTACCTGTCACCGACACTCCCTCAGCATCCACAGGTGACACCACCCCTCTTCCTGTCACCAATGCTTCCTCATTATCCACACGTCACGCCACCTCTCTTCATGTCACCAGCCCTTCCTCAGCATCCACCGGTCACGCCACCCCTCTTCCTGTTACCGACACTTCCGCAGCATCCACAGGTCACGCCACCCCTCTTCCTGTCACCAGCACTTCCTCAGCATCCACAGGTGACACCACCCCTCTTCCTGTCACCGACACTTCCTCAGCATCCACAGGTCATGCCACCCCTCTTCCTGTCACCAACACTTCCTCAGTATCCACAGGTCACGCCACCCCTCTTCATGTCACCAGCCCTTCCTCAGCATCCACAGGTCACACCACCCCTCTTCCTGTCACCGACGCTTCGTCAGTGTCCACAGGTCACGCCACCTCTCTTCCTGTCACCGACGCTTCCTCAGTGTCCACAGGTCACGCCACCCCTCTTCCTGTCACCGACGCTTCCTCAGTGTCCACAGGTCACGCTACCCCTCTTCCTCTCACCAGCCTTTCCTCAGTATCCACAGGTGACACCACGCCTCTTCCTGTCACCGACACTTCCTCAGCATCCACAGGTCAGGCCACCCCTCTTCCTGTCACCAGCCTTTCCTCAGTATCCACAGGTGACACCACCCCTCTTCCTGTCACCGACACTTCCTCAGCATCCACAGGTCACGCCACCTCTCTTCCTGTCACCGACACTTCCTCAGCATCCACAGGTCACGCCACCCCTCTTCATGTCACCAGCCCTTCCTCAGCATCCACCGGTCACGCCACCCCGCTTCCTGTCACCGACACTTCCTCAGCATCCACAGGTCACGCCACCCCTCTTCCTGTCACCAGCCTTTCCTCAGTATCCACAGGTGACACCACGCCTCTTCCTGTCACTAGCCCTTCCTCAGCATCCACAGGTCACGCCACTCCTCTTCTTGTCACCGACGCTTCCTCAGCATCCACAGGTCAGGCCACCCCTCTTCCTGTCACCAGCCTTTCCTCAGTATCCACAGGTGACACCACGCCTCTTCCTGTCACTAGCCCTTCCTCAGCATCCACCGGTCATGCCACCTCTCTTCCTGTCACCGACACTTCCTCAGCATCCACAGGTGACACCACCTCTCTTCCTGTCACCGACACTTCCTCAGCATACACAGGTGACACCACCTCTCTTCCTGTCACCGACACTTCCTCATCATCCACAGGTGACACCACCCCTCTTCTTGTCACCGAGACTTCCTCAGCATCCACAGGTGACACCACCCCTGTGCCTGTCACCGACACTTCCTCAGTATCCACAGGTCACGCCACCCCTCTTCCTGTCACCGGCCTTTCCTCAGCTTCCACAGGTGACACCACCCGTCTTCCTGTCACCGACATTTCCTCGGCATCCACAGGTCAGGCCACCCCTCTTCCTGTCACCAACACTTCCTCAGTATCCACAGGTGACACCATGCCTCTTCCTGTCACTAGCCCTTCCTCAGCATCCACAGGTCACGCCACCCCTCTTCCTGTCACCAGCACTTCCTCAGCATCCACCGGTCACGCCACCCCTGTTCCTGTCACCAGCACTTCCTCAGCATCCACAGGTCACACCACCCCTCTTCCTGTCACCAGCCCTTCCTCAGCATCTACAGGTCACACCACCCCTCTTCCTGTCACCGACACTTCCTCAGCATCCACAGGTGACACCACCCCTCTTCCTGTCACCAATGCTTCCTCATTATCCACAGGACACACCACCCCTCTTCATGTCACCATCCCTTCCTCAGCATCCACAGGTGACACCAGCACTCTTCCTGTCACCGGCGCTTCCTCAGCATCCACCGGTCACGCCACCCCTCTTCCTGTCACCGACACTTCCTCAGTATCCACAGGTCACGCCACCCCTCTTCCTGTCACCAGCTTTTCCTCAGTATCCACAGGTGACACCACCCCTCTTCCTGTCACCGACGCTTCCTCGGCATCCACCGGTCACGCCACCCCTCTTCCTGTCACCGACACTTCCTCAGCATCCACAGGTGACACCACCCCTCTTCCTGTCACCGACGCTTCCTCGGCATCCACAGGTCAGGCCACCCCTCTTCCTGTCACCAGCCTTTCCTCAGTATCAACAGGTGACACCACGCCTCTTCCTGTCACCATCCCTTCCTCAGCATCCTCAGGTCACACCACCTCTCTTCCTGTCAGCGACACTTCCTCAGCATCCACAGGTCAGGCCACCCCTCTTCCTGTCACCAGCCTTTCCTCAGTATCCACAGGTGACACCACCCCTCTTCTTGTCACCGACGCTTCCTCAGTATCCACAGGTCACGCCACCCCTCTTCCTGTCACCGACACTTCCTCAGCATCCACAGGTGACACCACCCGTCTTCCTGTCACGGACACTTCCTCAGCATCCACAGGTCAGGCCACCCCTCTTCCTGTCACCAGCCTTTCCTCAGTATCCACAGGTGACACCACCCCTCTTCTTGTCACCAACACTTCCTCAGTATCCACAGGTCACGCCACCTCTCTTCCTGTCACCATCCCTTCCTCATCATCCTCAGGTCACACCACCCCTCTTCCTGTCACCAGCACTTCCTCAGTATCTACAGGTCACGTCACCCCTCTTCATGTCACCAGCCCTTCCTCATCATCCACAGGTCAGGCCACCCCTCTTCCTGTCACCAGCACTTCCTCATCATCCACAGGTCAGGCCACCCCTCTTCCTGTCACCAGCACTTCCTCAGCATCCACAGGTCACGCCACCCCTCTTCCTGTCACCGACGCTTCCTCAGTGTCCACAGGTCACGCCACGCCTCTTCCTGTCACCGACACTTCCTCAGCATCCACAGGTGACACCACCCCTCTTCCTGTCACCGACACTTCCTCAGCATCCACAGGTCAGGCCACCCCTCTTCCTGTCACCAGCCTTTCCTCAGTATCCACAGGTCACGCCACCCCTCTTGCTGTCAGCAGTGCTACCTCAGCTTCCACAGTATCCTCGGACTCCCCTCTGAAGATGGAAACATCAGGTAGCTGCCAACTGCCTCGCCTTTATGTCTCCCAGTGGGCCCCTTGGCGGAATTCAGCCTAAGGAGTACCTGAGAACACTGGTGCATTCGCATTACCTGGTGGGGCCGTGTCAGGTCCCACAGGGGAGGAGGTGATGGGTGTGGTGGGTGACAGGCTCACCCTCCTTTGTGCCGCAATCGAAAAGCACTGATGTCGAGAGTAGTTTGGATATGAGCAGGGGAGAGACAAGGAGTTTCCAGCTCTCTCTTCCAGCTCCTGATTTCTTTGAATCTCTTTGACTCTCCTGTTTTGTTACTGTAAGAAACACCCCGCCTTGTCTTTTCACGTGTCCAGGAATGACAACACCGTCACTGAAGACAGACGGTGGGAGACGCACAGCCACATCACCACCCCCCACAACCTCCCAGACCATCATTTCCACCATTCCCAGCACTGCCATGCACACCCGCTCCACAGCTGCCCCCATCCCCATCCTGCCTGAGAGAGGTGAGGCCATACAGGTGAGGCCTGTGCCTTTTGAGGGGTGATGTAACTGAAGGCTCCCTCTCAGCCTACTTCCCACAGTCTCTGCTCTCTCGGGTGGGGAGAGCCTTACCGAGGACAGGGACACAGCATCGGAGTCGCTCCTGAGGGCTGGCTTTGTGCATGGCACTGGGCCAGGAGCTGGAGACAGAGAAATGACCCCAGTGCCATTCAGCAAGGGATAGATGGACGGTCCGGTAGCGGCGGTTAGAGGACTCATCCCAGGGTCTAAGTGCACACAATGGAAGGCCCTAAGGAATGCAGAGCCGGGGATGGAGGAGCACCCCAGGCAGGGAGGAGGGCGGGAACAGCTGGAACAAAGGTGTGGAAGGTATGGGTGTGGAAGGTATGGGTGTGGAAGGTATGGCCGTGGAAGGTATGGGTGTGGAAGGTATGGGTGTGGAAGGTATGGGTGTGGAAGGTATGACTGTGGAAGCTATGGGTGTGGAAGGTATGACTGTGGAAGGTATGGGTGTGGAAGGTATGACTGTGGAAGGTATGGGTGTGGAAGGTATGACTGTGGAAGGTATGGGTGTGGAAGGTATGGGTGTGGAAGGTATGGGTGTGGAAGGTATGGGTGTGGAAGGTATGGCCGTGGAAGGTATGGGTGTGGAAGGTATGGGTGTGGAAGGTATGGGTGTGGAAGGTATGACTGTGGAAGGTATGGGTGTGGAAGGTATGACTGTGGAAGGTATGGGTGTGGAAGGTATGACTGTGGAAGGTATGGGTGTGGAAGGTATGACTGTGGAAGGTATGGGTGTGGAAGGTATGGGTGTGGAAGGTATGGGTGTGGAAGGTATGGGTGTGGAAGGTATGGGTGTGGAAGGTATGACTGTGGAAGGTATGGGTGTGGAAGGTATGACTGTGGAAGGTATGGGTGTGGAAGGTATGACTGTGGAAGGTATGGGTGTGGAAGGTATGGGTGTGGAAGGTAAGGGTGTGGAAGGTATGGGTGTGGAAGGTATGGCCGTGGAAGGTATGGGTGTGGAAGGTATGGGTGTGGAAGGTATGGGTGTGGAAGGTATGACTGTGGAAGGTATGGGTGTGGAAGGTATGGCCGTGGAAGGTATGGGTGTGGAAGGTATGGGTGTGGAAGGTATGGGTGTGGAAGGTATGGGTGTGGAAGGTATGGCCGTGGAAGGTATGGGTGTGGAAGGTATGGCCGTGGAAGGTATGGGTGTGGAAGTTATGACTGTGGAAGGTATGGGTGTGGAAGGTATGGGTGTGGAAGGTATGACTGTGGAAGGTATGGGCGTGGAAGGTATGGGCGTGGAAGGTATGGGTGTGGAAGGTATGGGTGTGGAAGGTATGGGTGTGGAAGGTATGGATGTGGAAGGTATGGGTGTGGAAGGTATGGGTGTGGAAGGTATGGGTGTGGAAGGTATGACTGTGGAAGGTATAGGTGTGGAAGGTATGGGTGTGGAAGGTATGGGTGTGGAAGGTATGACTGTGGAAGGTATGGGTGTGGAAGGTATGGCCGTGGAAGGTATGGGTGTGGAAGGTATGACTGTGGAAGGTATGGGCGTGGAAGGTATGGGTGTGGAAGGTATGGGTGTGGAAGGTATGGGTGTGGAAGGTAAGGGTGTGGAAGGTATGGGTGTGGAAGGTATGGGTGTGGAAGGTATGGGTGTGGAAGGTATGGGTGTGGAAGGTATGACTGTGGAAGGTATGGGTGTGGAAGGTATGGATGTGGAAGGTATGGGTGTGGAAGGTATGACTGTGGAAGGTATGGCTGTGGAAGGTATGGGTGTGGAAGGTATGGGTGTGGAAGGTATGACTGTGGAAGGTATGGGTGTGGAAGGTATGGCCGTGGAAGGTATGACTGTGGAAGGTATGGGTGTGGAAGGTATGGGTGTGGAAGGTATGGGTGTGGAAGGTATGGGTGTGGAAGGTATGGGTGTGGAAGGTATGACTGTGGAAGGTATGGGTGTGGAAGGTATGGGCGTGGAAGGTATGGGTGTGGAAGGTATGGGTGTGGAAGGTATGGCCGTGGAAGGTATGGGTGTGGAAGGTATGGGTGTGGAAGGTATGGGTGTGGAAGGTATGACTGTGGAAGGTATGGGTGTGGAAGGTATGACTGTGGAAGGTATGGCCGTGGAAGGTATGGGTGTGGAAGGTATGGCCGTGGAAGGTATGGATGTGGAAGGTATGGGTGTGGAAGGTATGGGTGTGGAAGGTATGGCCGTGGAAGGTATGGGTGTGGAAGGTATGGGTGTGGAAGGTATGACTGTGGAAGGTATGGGCGTGGAAGGTATGGGCGTGGAAGGTATGGGTGTGGAAGGTATGGGTGTGGAAGGTATGGATGTGGAAGGTATGACTGTGGAAGGTATGACTGTGGAAGGTATGGGTGTGGAAGGTATGGGTGTGGAAGGTATGGGTGTGGAAGGTATGGGTGTGGAAGGTATGGGTGTGGAAGGTATGACTGTGGAAGGTATGGGCGTGGAAGGTATGGGCGTGGAAGGTATGGGTGTGGAAGGTATGGGTGTGGAAGGTATGGGTGTGGAAGGTATGGGTGTGGAAGGTATGACTGTGGAAGGTATGGGTGTGGAAGGTATGGGCGTGGAAGGTATGGGTGTGGAAGGTATGGGTGTGGAAGGTATGGGTGTGGAAGGTATGGCCGTGGAAGGTATGGGTGTGGAAGGTATGACTGTGGAAGGTATGGGTGTGGAAGGTATGACTGTGGAAGGTATGGGTGTGGAAGGTATGGGTGTGGAAGGTATGACTGTGGAAGGTATGGGTGTGGAAGGTATGGGTGTGGAAGGTACGAGTGTGGTAGGTATGGCTGCAGAAAGTCGTCCCGGTGCTGCATGGGGAGTGGATCCCCGAAGCATTTGGGGTGGCTGAAAATGAGAAGAAGGGTAGCAAAAAGTGCGGCCGGCATGCGGGGAATCCTGTAGGCAACGGGAGCCAGGGAGGACTCAGTTTTGCATTGTACAAATGGCATTTAACAAGTGGTGCCTGGAGCGGTCCGATTTGCAGGCAGTGAGGAGGCCAGGAGAGCCTGCGGGTTTCCAAGCAGGACCAGGGGAGGGCGCCAAGGAGTCGGCAGCTGCGAGAAATATTTGGGACAAGGTTTCTCACACTGGAGCCCGAGGGCCTCTAGGGAGTCCTAGGTTAAATTGGAGGAGTCTTCAAGTTTATCTGGAGAAAGGCCGTCTTAGGAAACAAGTCTCATTCCCTGAAAAGGGCTTTGCAGTTACTCATCTTCATTGCGCTGGACTTTTGTCTATTTTTTTTTTTTTTTTTTTGAGATGGAGTTTTCGCTCTTGTTGCCCAGGCTGGAGTGCAGTGGCGCGATCTCAGCTCACTGGAACCTCAGCCTCCCGGGTTCAAGCAATTCTCCTGCCTCAGCCTCCCGAGTGGCTGGGATTACAGGCATGCGCCACCACACCCGGCTAATTTTTGTATTTTAAGTAGAGACAGGGCTTCTCCATGTTGGTCAGGCTGGTCTCGAACTCCTGACCTCGTGATCCTCCCGCCTCAGCCTCCCAAAGTGCTGGGATTACAGGCGTGAGCCACCGCACCCAGCATAGACTTTTGTCTTTTAACCCTGAAAAGGATTGAGACTAAGAGATTGAGAATCGTTTGCTGGTATTCTGACAGCAGGACCTGTTTTTCTCCAAGCTGGGGAAGGATGAGAGGCGCAGTTTAGGGAGTAAAATGACCACATGCATTTAATGTGGGTGGAGAGGGAGCGAGAAGCACCCTAGATGGCTGCCTCTGGGGCCCTCGGGGAACACAGGACAGGTGTGGGCAGCCTGCGGGGAGCGCTCTGGGATCCCTTTCAGCCCTAAAGAAGGCCCAGGCCCACTTGGACTTCCTGCTCTTCTCTGTCCTGGCCCAGGAGTTTCCCTCTTCCCCTATGGGGCAGACGCCGGGGACCTGGAGTTCGTCAGGAGGACCGTGGACTTCACCTCCCCACTCTTCAAGCCGGCGACTGGCTTCCCCCTTGGCTCCTCTCTCCGTGATTCCCTCTACGTGAGTCCGGGCTGCGGCCCGTGCAGCCTGAACTCCCAGGGCCCACTTCTCTCTCCTGCTTCGAGACGGAACCCAGAGGAAGCGGGAATGGAAGCAGCCTTGGCTGGGCCCCTCGTCCATCCCCACAGCCTCCTTAATGTCAGGCCTCTGCCTGAGGAACACAGGGTGCCAGGCGAGGGCTGCCCACCTGCTGGGCCCACCGCTGCTTCTGCGGGGCCTTCTCAGGAGTAAAAAGCTACACTTGGGAAACTGGACTGTTCCTGCCGTTTCCACCTTCTGGGATTTGTCTCTGGCCCCCTGGTCCCTGCCTCCTGGAGCAGAGTTGGAGGGACAGTCCTGGCTCCTGTGGCCCTGAGGGAGGAGGCTGAGTCCGAACACAGCATGAGAGGGCGACTGAGCGATGGAGAGGGTGTCCACACCTGCTGAGCGATAGAGAGAGGGTGTCCACACCTGCTGAGCGATGGCGAGAGGGTGTCCACACCTGCTGAGCGATAGAGAGAGGGTGTCCACACCTGCTGAGCGATGGCGAGAGGGTGTCCACACCTGCTGAGCGATAGAGAGAGGGTGTCCACACCTGCTGAGCGATGGAGAGAGGGTGTCCACACCTGCTGAGTGATAGAGAGAGAGTGTCCACACCTGCTGAGCGATGGAGAGAGGGTGTCCACACCTGCTGAGTGAGAGAGAGGTTTCCACCCCCTAAGTGATGGAGATGGGGTGTCTGCACCCCTGAGTGATGGAGAGAGGGTGTCTACACCCCTGAGCGATGGAGGGGGGTGCCTACACCTGCTGAGCGATAGAGAGAGGTTTCCACCCCCTAAGTGATGGAGATGGGGTGTCTGCACCCCTGAGCGATGGAGAGAGGGTGTCTACACCTGCTGAGTGATAGAGAGAGGTTTCCACCCCCTAAGTGATGGAGATGGGGTGTCTGCACCCCTGAGCGATGGAGAGAGGGTGTCTACACCCCTGAGCGATGGAGAGGGGGTGTCTACACCCCTGAGCGATGGAGAGAGGATGTCTACACCCCGAACGATAGAGAGGGTGTCCACACCCCTGAGCGATGAAGGGAGGGTGTCTACACCCCTGAGCGATGGAGAGAGGGTGTCCACACCCCTGAGCGATGGAGAGAGGGTGTCTACACCCCTGAGCGATGGAGAGAGGGTATCTACACCCCTGAGCGATGGAGAGAGGGTGTCTACACCCCTGAGCGATGAAGGGAGGGTGTCTATAGCCCTGAGCACCCCTGAGCGATGAAGGGAGGGTGTCTATACCCCTGAGCGATGGAGAGAGGGTGTCTACACCCCTGAGCGATGGAGAGGGGGTGTCTACACCCCTGAGCGATGGAGAGGGGGTGTCTACACCCCTGAGCGATGGAGAGAGGGTGTCTACACCCCTGAGCGATGGAGAGAGGATGTCTACACCCCTGAGCGATGAAGGGAGGGTGTCTACACCCCTGAGGGATGGAGAGAGGGTGTCCACACCTGCTGAGTGATAGAGAGAGGTTTCCACCCCCTAAGTGATGGAGATGGGGTGTCTGCACCCCTGAGCGATGGAGAGAGGGTGTCTACACCCCTGAGCGGTGGAGAGAGGGTGTCTACACCCCTGAGCGATGAAGGGAGGGTGTCTACACCCCTGAGCGATGAAGGGAGGGTGTCTACACCCCTGAGCGATGGAGAGAGGGTGTCTACACCCCTGAGCGATGAAGGGAGGGTGTCTACACCCCTGAGCGATGAAGGGAGGGTGTCTACACCCCTGAGCGATGAAGGGAGGGTGTCTACACCCCTGAGCGATGGAGAGAGGGTGTCTACACCTGCTGAGCAATAGATAGAGGGTTCCACCCCCTAAGTGATGGAGATGGGGTGTCTGCACCCCTGAGCGATGGAGAGAGGGTGTCTACACCCCTGAGCGACGGAGGGAGGGCTCCACCCACTGAGCGATGGAGAGAGGGTTCCACTCCCTGAGCCCCACCTAATGTGTCGCAAACTTCAGGATGGGGCCCAGGGGACTGGCCAAGAGGGGTGTGCCTGTGAGGGGCTGGTCCACGGCCAGGGATCTGCAGTGAAACAGGACCAAGCCTACCACCCGAGGACGCAAGGGATGGCCTGAGGGCGGAGCATTCTGTGAGATTATATGGAAAGGGCTCTCCCCAAAACAGGACACAGGAGGTGACTTCCAGGGGTTGTTAGCATCTCTAAAGCTCTACCCTTGGGGGTCACGCTTTTGAGGAGCTGGACCAAGGCTGGGACTTTCCTCCCCACTTCCCTCCCTGAATGCTGACCACAAAACCCATGTGCTCAGTTCACAGACAATGGCCAGATCATCTTCCCAGAGTCAGACTACCAGATTTTCTCCTACCCCAACCCACTCCCAACAGGCTTCACAGGCCGGGACCCTGTGGCCCTGGTGGCTCCGTTCTGGGACGATGCTGACTTCTCCACTGGTCGGGGGACCACATTTTATCAGGTGAGCCTTTCAAAGCCTGGCAGTCAGGATCCCCCAGCAGCTGGCAGGGGAGACAAAGAGCTGTGTGGAAGGCTTTGCCAGAGTTGCTGCTGTGACAGCCCCTGCAGCAGGGGACTGAGGCTTAAATATGGGTGTGGGAGGAAGCAGTCAAGGGACATTAAGCTGACTCAGGAGTACCCCAACCCAACCACGAGACTGACCAGGAATACCCCAACCCAACCACGAGACTGACCAGGAATACCCCAACCCGGCCGCGAGACTGACCAGGAATACCCCAACCCAACCACAAGACTGACCAGGAATACCCCAACCCAACCACGAGACTGACCAGGAATACCCCAACCCAACCACGAGACTGACCAGGAATACCCCAACCCAACCACGAGACTGACCAGGAATACCCCAACCCAACCACGAGACTGACCAGGAATACCCCAACCCAACCACGAGACTGACCAGGAATACCCCAACCCAACCACGAGACTGACCAGGAATACCCCAACCCAACCACGAGACTGACCAGGAATACCCCAACCCGGCCGCGAGACTGACCAGGAATACTCCAACCCAACCACGAGACTGACCAGGAATACCCCAACCCAACCACGAGACTGACCAGGAATACCCCAACCCAACCACGAGACTGACCAGGAATACCCCAACCCGGCCGCGAGACTGACCAGGAATACCCCAACCCAACCACGAGACTGACCAGGAATACCCCAACCCGGCCACGAGACTGACCAGGAATACCCCAACCCGGCCGCGAGACTGACCAGGAATACCCCAACCCGGCCGCGAGACTGACCAGGAATACCCCAACCCGGCCGCGAGACTGACCAGGAATACCCCAACCCGGCCGCGAGACTGACCAGGAATACCCCAACCCGGCCGCGAGACTGACCAGGAATACCCCAACCCGGCCGCGAGACTGACCAGGAATACCCCAACCCGGCCGCGAGACTGACCAGGAATACCCCAACCCGGCCGCGAGACTGACCAGGAATACCCCAACCCGGCCGCGAGACTGACCAGGAATACCCCAACCCGGCCGCGAGACTGACCAGGAATACCCCAACCCGGCCGCGAGACTGACCAGGAATACCCCAACCCGGCCACGAGACTGACCAGGAATACCCCAACCCGGCCACGAGACTGACCAGGAATACCCCAACCCAACCACGAGACTGACCAGGAATACCCCAACCCGGCCGCGAGACTGACCAGGAATACCCCAACCCGGCCACGAGAAGACCTGCAGGTGACGGGGGATGGGGGCTGACAATTCAGCCTTTGATTGTAAAATCAGGCTGTAGGGGGTCTGTCCTAACAAGAGTGAGTCAAGAGGGCCCGTCCTGTGCTCCTGGACTGGGTGAATAACTCCAATCAGAGGAAATGTGATGAAAGCTACTGCAGGAAGTGTGGACCGTGCCCCTGCCACGGACAGGGCAGTGTGGAGGCTCCAAGAGGAAGAGACTCACGCCTGTTCTCAAGAAGCTGCAGATTAGGCATGGGGAGGTAAAAGTGGGCCCGAGTGGCTCTGCTCTCTGGGCCAGTTTGAGCTAAGATGCTTGAGTTCAAGTCCAGAGGTCTTGGACGTCTGGGCCACGACCCTGCATTCTGCACACTGCAGGCCTTCCTGCAGCCCAAGTTTGAATTGAACTTCACCTCAGAAAAGCTCACGGCAAAAATGCAGGCCTGGGACAGGGGAGGGCAGGCCATTGGGTGGGCTGAAGTGGGCAGGGTCCTCAGGCAGAAAGTGGGGGGCCCATGTGTAGGAGTGGGACCCTCGTTGGCTTGTTTTCATCTGCCCTCCTTTCCTAGGAATACGAGACGTTCTATGGTGAACACAGCCTGCTAGTCCAGCAGGCCGAGTCTTGGATTAGAAAGATCACAAACAACGGGGGCTACAAGGCCAGGTGGGCCCTAAAGGTCACGTGGGTCAATGCCCACGCCTATCCTGCCCAGTGGACCCTCGGGGTGAGTAGACCCCTGGGCAGCTCCCAGGAGCTATCTGGGAGTCAGACATCCTAGAATCCTAGGCAGGGGCCACTCTTCCAAAATCCTCTCTGGCTCTAGGAAAGATTGCTAATTATAGCAAGCCCCCCCACCGCCACCCCCCCACTGCCACCACTGTTGGCTGAGCACTCACCGTGGGCCCGGCCTGTCTCGGCCCTTTGCCTACTTGACCTCACAGCAGCCCAGCAAACCGGGTATTATTAGGCTGAAACATAGCAAGTGGCATTTTTGTAAGTCAAAAATGTCTGGCTATTCGCAATTTCACGTGGCTCAGTCTGGTATTATGCTCCCCATTTTACAGATGAGGAAGACAATGGTTAGAGAGGTTAAGTAACTCGTTCAGAGTCACGCCGCTGGCAAATGGCAAAGCCAGGCCTGAGTGGAGCTTCTTCTGACTCCAGCCTCTGGCTCTGAAGCACAGGCTCATCCAACGGGCACAGGGTGCGCCACACCATCTCCTCTGTCCTCCCTCCGAGGACCCCGCTCTTGTAGTCACCAAGTTCTTCCTTATGCCTGGTCTAAAGTCACTCATTTCTTCATTCACTCGACAAAAGTTCACTGGTCACCTACTGTGGACAACGTGTGCGCCTTCAGTGAACCCCAGTGTCATCCATGCTGTTTAGATGGAGGAGACAATTTGGGCAATGTCCTTAAATATCCGCGCGGGAGCTAATGAAGCCTCCTCTCTAGCTCTCTGGTATCTTGGCTGATCTCAGGTTCTGGTAGCTTTCTCTAACAAACACTCATCTAACTGAATTGTAACCCAGAACCCTTTATCTCCCCTCCTGGAAGAAAGTCACCAAAAGGCAAATCCACCGTGGTAAGTGCGTTCGCACCCAGGGTGAAAGCTGCCCTCACTGACCCAAAACTTGCCAGCATTTTGGGCCCATGTCTTTGCTGTGGGCAGACCAGGAACAGATGCTGTGCGTGTCAGAGCAGGGCTGTGGGACGGGCGGGGGGACATAAGAGAGGAGACCCCGGATCTCTCACGGGCATCCCTGTGTTTTCTTCCACCCACCCCCAGAGCAACACCTACCAAGCCATCCTCTCCACGGACGGGAGCAGGTCCTATGCCCTGTTTCTCTACCAGAGCGGTGGGATGCAGTGGGACGTGGCCCAGCGCTCAGGCAAGCCGGTGCTCATGGGCTTCTCTAGGTAGGATGGGAGGGGCTGTCAGCACTGAGCAGTTGGCAGGGAGGGGTGTAGAGTCGGCTTTCGCTGCACACACACTCCCATCCTGGGGCAAGGCGGGAACCCTCCTGGCTGGTGCTTCTGACTCACGCTGACTCCAGCTCCCGCTGGGGCCAGGCATCTGGCTGCTTCCCACGACAAGATCACCCATTTGTCCGCCATGCCCTTTCCCATCCCAGTCCCCGTGAGTTGTAATCATTCCCAGAGCTTTGGCTTCCCTGATTTCCACTGACATTAGCTGGCCTCTCTTACCTTCTCAAATATCGTGATAATAACAGCCAAGACTGATGACACTAACACTTCGTGTACATTACTGCATGTCATGATCACAGCCACCCCACGAGGCAGATACTATTTATCATCCCCATTCTACAGATCAGGAAACTGAGATACAAATAGACTAGCAATTTGCCTAAAGTCCCAGAGCTGGGAAGTGGCAACATGGAGATTTGAACCCAGACATCTGAGGCTAGAATCTGCCTTCCTGACTTCCTGAGAATTACCCACTTATCCAGGGGGCACCCAAAAGCTTATATGGAGCCGGTGGTGAAGGGAGAGAGGAGGCACGGGGCTGTGGGCGGTTGAAATGTGGATTCCCGTGTGTGGGAGGCTGTCTCCGATGTAGCAGTGCGCCATCTCTGTTCCCATATGCTGGGGTGTGGCAATCAGTACGAAGGCCACATGTCTTTTGTTCTTGATAATTGCTGCAAATGTCTTCTCTTACATTGAGTGTGTTCAGGTTACCCCTTTGATTACACTGCTTTCACTAGTTTCTTGGTGTGCTATGAAGGAGAAAGGAGGGGAATTACCCAACTCTAGGAATTTCACACGGTCCAGGTACACCCAAGGAAGGTGTCACGCAGGGGTGCATCATCCTGCTTGTGTCAGGGAGGAGGAAAAGCCCAAGAGTCCCCACTCTGCAGCAGGCACCCAGGGTGGGGCTGCAGGCGGCTGCTCCAGGCTTTCCTCCTTCCCGGGCCATGCTCGGACCCCACACCTGGGGACGGTGATGGCGATAGTGGTGGTGGTGGTGGTGGTGGTAGTGGTAGTGGCAGTGGAGGTGGCAGTGGTGGTGGTGATGGTGGTGATGGTGGTGGTGATGGTGGTGATGGTGGTGGTGTTGGGGGTGATGGTGGCGATGGTGGTGGTGGTGATGGTGGTGGTGGTGGTGATGGTGGTGATGATGGTGGTGGCAATGATGGTGGTGATGGTGGTGGTGGTGGTGATGGTGGTGGTGGCGATGGTGGTAGTGTTGGGGGTGGCAGTGATGGTGGTGATGGTGATGGTGGTGGTGGTGGTGGTGGCGATGGTGGTGGTGATGGTGGTGATGGTGGTGGCAATGGTGATGATGGTGGTGGTGGTGATGGTGGTGGTGATGGTGGTGGCAATGGTAATGGTGATGGTGATGATGGTGGTGGTGGTGATGGTGGTGGTGATGGTGATGATGGTGGTGGTGATGGTGATGGTGATGATGGTGGTGGCGATGGTGGTGGTGATGGTGATGGTGGTGGTGATGGTGATGGTGGTGGTGATGGTGATGGTGGTGGTAGTGTTGGTGGTGGTGGTGGTGATGGTGATGGTGATGGTAGTGTTGGTGGTGACGATGATGGTGGTGGTGGTGGTAGTGCTGGCGATGGTGGTGGTGGTGGTGGCAGCAGTGGCAGCATCTGTTGTATCAAGGCCTCACTCAGTTCTGAGGGATTTGCAGATGTTACTGCATTTAATCCTCACAATACAGTGAGGTAGATGCCACTGTAATCCCTTTTATACAGATGTGAAAACTAAGAATCAGAGAGGGTCAGTAACTTGTCTGTGGTCACCAAGCTAGTAAGTGGGGGGATCAGCAGTTGAATCCATCACTGCCTAACTCCAGAAACTGGGTCTTAACCATCACAATACACTGTCCCTAGAGTCTGTCCCGCTCCAAACCCTCTGCTTGTTGAAGGGAAACAAACAGAAATGAGGCCTGAACTCTGTTGTTTTCACGCCCCTGTCTCATGACCAAGCGGACCTGCCAGTTTCTTGCAGCTAGCGATCAGATGTGGAATCGGTTAGAGCCTCCTACCTCTGCCCAGCCATCTTGTCCCCTCTCCTGCTCAGTGCTGGGGCTTGACGATGGGGGCTGGCTGACCCACTGACCCACTGCCCGCCTAGCTGGTTGACCAGCTGCTGACCGGCTAGCGGGATGAATGGACGCCTTGCAACCGCGAGGCAAGAGCCTGTGCACGGCAGAGGCCTGAGAGTCTCTCCTTTCCTGCAGTGGAGATGGCTATTTCGAAAACAGCCCACTGATGTCCCAGCCAGTGTG
This sequence comes from Homo sapiens, assembly GCF_000001405.40. Taxonomy (NCBI): domain Eukaryota; kingdom Metazoa; phylum Chordata; class Mammalia; order Primates; family Hominidae; genus Homo; species Homo sapiens. The sequence continues at coordinate 28,429 of NT_187678.1, forward strand.
GGAGAGGTATCGCCCTGATAGATTCCTGAATTCCAACTCAGGTAAAAGTGCCACCTTATCACACCTGAGCTGGTCTCAAGCCCTCGCGTGTCCTCCAGCCCATACACCATCGCAGTCCTAGAGGGCACCTCCCTAACATCACGGCCATCCTGAAGGGCCTCCCCCACACAGTTCAACCTCCTACAGGTCTAGGTGGGATGTGGCACCACCCAGGGAGCAGCTGGCACCTCCTGCACCCCTGGACACAGCACAGTCTCAGAGGGGGCTACATCTCCTCCCTCAGATGAACCAGCCCAAGAGGGCTCTCGGGGGGCCCAGATCCTGGAAGTGAGGACAGGGTCTTGTGGGAGGTGGGATTTGAATGGGCAGTTCAGACAATACTCCAAGTGTCCTGTCCAGAGCAGGAATGAGAACCCAGGTGAGATCCTTTAAGAAAATCTACCGGCTGGGCGCCATGGCTCACACCTGTAATCCCAGCATTTTGGGAGGCTGAGGTGGGCGGATCACTTGAGGTCAGGAGTTCGAGACCAGCCTGGCCAACATGGTGAAATTCTGTCTCTACTAAAAATACAAAAATTAGCCAGACGTTGTGGTGCACACCTGTAATTCCAGCTACTCAATAGGTTGAGGCAGGAGAATTGTTTGAACCTGGGAGGTGGAGGTTGCAGCGAGCCGAGATCGCGCCACTGCACTCCAGCCTGGGTGACAGAGTGAGACTCCATCTCAAAAAGAGAGAATCCACCAAGAAGAGGCCCGGAGGTCTCACGTTCATTGTCATCATTTACTGGGCACCTGCCGTGTGCTGGACACCGTGCTAACAGCCAGAAACAAAGGAAAAAGACCAACTGTGTTTTCTCTCAAAGAGCTTTCATGCGGGTAGAAAGACAAGCGTCAAGAGGCAAACAATGGCGCCTTCTCCATGACTCAGTCCAGAGGCCCCAATGGGAAAGAAATAATAGTTTCCAAAATGTGATAGGTTGAAGGACATTTTAGCCTTAGAAACCAGCCACGTGAACTGTGAAGTGTAAATCCAGTTCTATTTGTTCTGTGGCAACCACGTTTGGTCGTCAGAAGCAGACGCTAAGTCAAGCGAGGGGCTTTGGGGGAGGAATTGTTGCCCATCTGACTTGGGTCCAAAGAGGTGAGAAGTGGCAGGAGGGGGTGCATTTGTGAGTTTTGGTTGACCCTAAAGCTGAGACAGGGCCTGCAGCCCCAGCCCTGGATAAGCCCTTTCCCCCCCATCCCCGACCTCAGGCCTCCAAGGGCTGCAGTTCTACAGGCTACACCGGGAAGAAAGGCCCAACTACCGTCTCGAGTGCCTGCAGTGGCTGAAGAGCCAGCCTCGGTGGCCCAGCTGGGGCTGGAACCAGGTCTCCTGCCCTTGTTCCTGGCAGCAGGGACGACGGGACTTACGATTCCAACCCGTCAGCATAGGTGACACCTCCTTCCCGCCCCCCACAAGCCCACCCACCACCCTCTCTGCTCACGCCCTCAGCCTCTCCCCAGAAACAGCCCCTGCTTGTTCCCACCCCGCCCCTGGCAGCCCCGGCCTGGGCCTGAGTGGGACTGGACTTGTTTCAGGTCGCTGGGGCCTCGGCAGTAGGCAGCTGTGCAGCTTCACCTCTTGGCGAGGAGGCGTGTGCTGCAGCTACGGGCCCTGGGGAGAGTTTCGTGAAGGCTGGCACGTGCAGCGTCCTTGGCAGTTGGGTGCGTGAGTCCGTGATCTCAACCCCACCTTCCCGGCCAAGTAGGGGACCCTCAGCATGAAGCCTCTCGTCCTCATTCCTTCCCAGACCCTTCCCCTCTCTGGGCCTCCACTTCCTGATCGGGTAACGTTAGGAAGCTTCCAACATCCCCACCAGCGGACATTCGGGGATGTATGAGCTGAGAGCCTCTTTCCTCATCTCTATACCTGGCTCCACATCCCCAGGCCAGAGTGGGGCCATTTCTCCAGGCAAGAAGAGAGCGCCTAGGCTGACCCCGTCCCTGTAGACCCAGATGAGCAGGATGTTTGGGGGAAGACTGAGAGTCAGCTCCCACAGAGACGCTCCAAGGGAGCTGGAGAGCGCAGGGGTGTGGGGTCACGTGGTCTGTGTCCTCCCGTTCTCTCCCCCGTCCCATGGCAGTTTCCACAGTTCCCAGACCGTCAGCTGTGCCCTCCCCACTCCCAGCACGTTGAGAGCAGCAGTACTTGGCTCTCCACCCTCAAGACAGGAAATTTGCTTAGCTCCTACCATGCGCCCTGCTGCACAGTGGCCCCAATGCCTGCAAAAGAGACAGCACCCTATTCACTGCCCAAGGTCATGAGAAGGGCCATGCTGGATTCCAAAGCCATGCTCTTGCCACCAACACCGCCCTGCCCTACCAAGCTCTCCACCAACACCGCCCTGCCCTGCCAAGCTCTCCACCAACACCGCCCTGCCCTGCCAAGCTCTCAACCAACACCACCCTGCCCTGCCAAGCTTCTCCAGGTCCTCAACCTCCCCGACTCACTGCTGTTCTCCGCAGCCCAGGAACTGGAGCCACAGAGCTGGTGCTGCCGCTGGAATGACAAGCCCTACCTCTGTGCCCTGTACCAGCAGAGGCGGCCCCACGTGGGCTGTGCTACATACAGGCCCCCACAGCCCGGTGAGCGACAGGGCCCAGGCCCAGGAAGAGCCTCTGGGGAGGGGGAGCTTCTGGGCTTCCGGGAGGTGGTTAAGGAGTAGGGGCAGAGCTGTGGCCACAAGGGAAGATGGAGATGACGCCAGTGATGGGTGGATGGTCAGTGGAGGGGCTTTGTACCTGAGTTGGGGAAGGAGTGAGAATAGCGGGGCACGAAAATGCAAGGAGGCTTGAGGGGAGGATTCTGTGCTCTGTGAACATCTCCCCAGCTGAGTCCGCCCGGACAAGTGCCCCAGTCGACTGCAGTGAGGAACCTCACCCTGAGTCCTCCTGGACAAGTGCCGCACCTGACTGCAGTGAGGAACCTCAGCCCTACACATGATTTGTCATGCTGAGGCAGCATCTCTTTTTTCCTTCCAGCCTGGATGTTCGGGGACCCCCACATCACCACCTTGGATGGTGTCAGTTACACCTTCAATGGGCTGGGGGACTTCCTGCTGGTCGGGGCCCAAGACGGGAACTCCTCCTTCCTGCTTCAGGGCCGCACCGCCCAGACTGGCTCAGCCCAGGCCACCAACTTCATCGCCTTTGCGGCTCAGTACCGCTCCAGCAGCCTGGGCCCCGTCACGGTGAGTGAGGGGTGCCGGGGACCTCCCTGCATTCCACCCACAGGGACCTTCAGCCACATACTGAGGCCGAGGAGAAGGAAGAGAGCGAAGGAGGGGAAGCCGGGCAGGAGGGAGGGAGGACACAGCCCATCCACGCAGCTGTCCCGGAGTAAATCCTGGTGATGGTGGATTAGGGCTCTGGCCCCACGGTTTCCCAGCTGCTTGGCTTCGAAGAAACTACTTAATTTGGTTTTCTCCTAGTAAGAATGGGGATGACATTACCTGCCTCACGGGCTGTTGTAAGAGCTAAAGGGCATAATCCGAAAACCATGCCTGGCCCTGCCGAGCACACGGTAGACGGCGGCTGGCATCACCTCAGGCCGCGGCCTCCAGCGCCTTCCTCCCGGCCCAGGGCGCAGCTTCCAGCCCCAGGGGCTCTCCCAGCTGCTTTCCTGGGCGTCGGCTCCACCTGCGGGTCGGGCTCAGGCCCCCTCCCATCTCCTTCCAGGTCCAATGGCTCCTTGAGCCTCACGACGCAATCCGTGTCCTGCTGGATAACCAGACTGTGACATTTCAGCCTGACCATGAAGACGGCGGAGGTAGGTTGGGGAGCGCCGGCCGCCCCCTCCCCGCACCGGGAGCAGCGAGGTGGGCGAGAAGCCGCGTTGCGGTGCAGGGCCGGGCGCGTGGCGGTGCAGGGCCGGGTGCGTTGTGGTGCAGGGCCGGGCGCGTGGCGGTGCAGGGCCGGGTGCGTTGTGGTGCAGGGCCGGGCGCGTGGCGGTGCCGCGCCGAGTGCTTTGCGGTGCAGGGCCGGGTGCGTTGTGGTGCAGGGCCGGGCGCGTGGCGGTGCAGGGCCGGGTGCGTTGTGGTGCAGGGCCGGGCGCGTGGCGGTGCAGGGCCTGGTGCGTGGCGGTGCAGGGCCGGGTGCGTGGCGGTGCAGGGCCCGGTGCGTTGCGGTGCAGGGCCGGGTGCGTTGCGGTGCAGGGCCCGGTGCGTGGCGGTGCAGGGCCGAGTGCGTTGTGGTGCCGGGCCCGGTGCGTGGCGGTGCAGGGCCCGGTGCGTGGCGGTGCAGGGCCGGGTGCGTGGCGGTGCAGGGCCCGGTGCGTTGCGGTGCAGGGCCGGGTGCGTTGCGGTGCAGGGCCCGGTGCGTGGCGGTGCAGGGCCGAGTGCGTTGTGGTGCCGGGCCCGGTGCGTGACGGTGCAGGGCCCAGTGCGTGGCGGTGCAGGGCCAAGAGAGCGCAGCCTCTACCCCCGAGCGGGGCGTGCAGCTCGCCGGCCTCTTCTCCGCCTCCAGTGCAGACCCCTCCCGGCTTCAGCCCCAGGGGCGGGGTGGGGGTGGTGCGGGCCCGGCAGGGCGCGGGTTTGGTGCGGGCCGTGGTGCCGACCTGGCTTCCTCTCCGCTGCCTCCCGATGCTCCAGGCCAGGAGACGTTCAACGCCACCGGAGTCCTCCTGAGCCGCAACGGCTCTGAGGTCTCCGCCAGCTTCGACGGCTGGGCCACCGTCTCGGTGATCGCGCTCTCCAACATCCTCCACTCCTCCGCCAGCCTCCCGCCCGAGTACCAGAACCGCACGGAGGGGCTCCTGGGTGAGGGCGGCTCGGACCTGCCTCTGAGGCTCCGCGGAGCCAGCCGGAGCTCGGACCCCCACGCCGGCGGCCCGGGCAGCCCTGCTCGGCCTCCCTTTCTCCGCCTCCTTGGAGCAGAACCCTTGGGGCACAGAGCGGGCCGGGAGCCGAGGGGCTTCTCCAGCCTCCCCCGAGGCTCCCTTCCTGTCCTCCGCCCGCTCTAAGGGAGCATCAGGGGGGGCTGCGGGGAGGCGGGGGGCACAGCCATCCTTTCTCCCTTTCCTCTTGCCTCCCACATCCTCCCGCCCTCCTCCACCGCTGCCCGCGTTTCCTCCCGCCCCTCCCGAAGGCAGACGGGCAGGGTGTGAGGGCCCGTCCTCCCGGCTCCCCTGGAGGCCTGACAGCAGGTGCAAGAGCAGAGGCTGCCAGGCCCTGGCCTCTCCCCACTGCGTCCGCCGGATGCTCCCCAGGAAGGGGACAGCCGCGTGCCCAGGGTGGCCAACCTCCCACTCTGTCCCTCAGGGGTCTGGAATAACAATCCAGAGGACGACTTCAGGATGCCCAATGGCTCCACCATTCCCCCAGGGAGCCCTGAGGAGATGCTTTTCCACTTTGGAATGACCTGTGAGTCTGGGCAGGGTCCTGGGGCAGAGGGGCAGGTGAGGGGAGCCGGTATGTTTATGTCGTCCCCCTCGGCCCTGTAGGAAGCAGACCTCCATCCTCCCTAAGGTCTGAGGAATCTGTGCCCCCCCAGGGCTGTCCCCACCACCACCAGCCCACCTGCCTCTCTCTACCTGGAGGAGAGAATGGGGGACGTGGAGTGTCCTCTCTCACTGCAGCAGGTGTTTCTAGACTCAGAAGCTGGAAACCGCTCTGGCCCTGCACTCCCACCGCCCCGCTCCAAGCCATCTAAAGTGAGGGGTAGAGGTGGACACAGATGGAATAAGGCTGAGTGCCATGCCTGGTACCACCGCGCTCTGTGTGTTACAGGGCAGATCAACGGGACAGGCCTCCTTGGCAAGAGGAATGACCAGCTGCCTTCCAACTTCACCCCTGTTTTCTACTCACAACTGCAAAAAAACAGCTCCTGGGCTGAACATTTGATCTCCAACTGTGACGGAGATAGCTCATGCATCTATGACACCCTGGCCCTGCGCAACGCAAGCATCGGACTTCACACGAGGGAAGTCAGTAAAAACTACGAGCAGGCGAACGCCACCCTCAGTAAGTGGCCCGAGGCCCGGGGAGGCCTTTTCAGAGTCGGGAGCAGATGAGGAGCTGCCCTTGCCTGACCCTGCTTTTCCCTGTGCATCTGCATTCACTGAGCAGATTCTTCCACTCCTGGCATTCCTCTGCTCAAACCCTTCAGAGACTTCCCTGGCTCTCTCCATCCTTGCAGTGGCCTTCGGCCCAGTTCAGCTTCTCAGAGCTCTTCTCCTAGTGCTGGACGCCTTCCCAGCCCCCTCCGTCCATCCTAGCGCTGGATGCCTTCCCAGCCCCCTTCACTCCATACTAGCGCTGGACGCCTTCCCAGCCCCTCCACTCCATCCTAGTGCTGGACGCCTTCCCAGCCCCCTCCACTCCATCCTAGCGCTGGATGCCTTCCCAGCCCCCTCCACTCCATCCTAGTGCTGGACACCTTCCCAGCCCCCTCCACTCCATCCTAGCGCTGGACGCCTTCCCAGCCCCCTCCATCCATCCTAGCGCTGGACGCCTTCCCAGCCCCCTCCATCCATCCTAGCGCTGGACGCCTTCCCAGCCCCCTCCACTCCATCCTAGCGCTGGAAGCCTTCCCAGCCCCCTCCACTCCATCCTAGTGCTGGACCCCTTCCCAGCCCCCTCCATCCATCCTAGCGCTGGACGCCTTCCCAGCCCCCTCCATCCATCCTAGTGCTGGACGCCTTCCCAGCCCCCTCCACTCCATCCTAGCGCTGGACGCCTTCCCAGCCCCTCCACTCCATCCTAGTGCTGGACGCCTTCCCAGCCCCCTCCACTCCATCCTAGTGCTGGACCCCTTCCCAGCCCCTCCACTCCATCCTAGTGCTGGACCCCTTCCCAGCCCCTCCACTCCATCCTAGCGCTGGACGCCTTCCCAGCCCCCTCCACTCCATCCTAGCGCTGGACGCCTTCCCAGCCCCCTCCATCCATCCTAGCGCTGGACGCCTTCCAAGCCCCCTCCATCCATCCTAGCGCTGGACGCCTTCCCAGCCCCCTCCATCCATCCTAGCGCTGGACCCCTTCCCAGCCCCCTCCATCCATCCTAGCGCTGGACGCCTTCCCAGCCCCCTCCACTCCATCCTAGCGCTGGACGCCTTCCCAGCCCCTCCACTCCATCCTAGCGCTGGACGCCTTCCCAGCTCCCTGCACTCCAGCCCCGCAGGCTCCTCTGTGTTCTTCAAACACGCTAGGTGCGCTCAGCTCCCAGGCTTCACACGTGCTGTTCTCTTGCCTGGAATACCCTTCCTTCCCTGGACAGCCACACGCTTGCCCCTCACCTCCTTTACGTCTTCATTCCAATGTCCCCTCCTTGGTGAGGCCTCTCTTGGCCGCCCTGTCTAAAATGTCACATTCGCCCACACTTCATGTTTGCCTTCCCTGCTTTATTTTTTTCTCCTTAGCATTTATAATTACTCAACATATTTTATAATTTTCACAGGTATCTTTTTAATTATTCATTCATGACTGTATCCTCACCACCCAGAACAGTGCCAGCCACTTAGCTCAATAAATGTTTGTTAAATGACTGACTGAATGAATGTGTGAAGCAACTATGAAATGGAAATGGCAGGGCTCCGAGAAACAGACCCGTGAAGAGGTTTTACTCCCTCTCTATTTCTGGACAAATGCAATGTCCCTTTAGATGTGACCCTCCAGGTTTTGTGCGTGTGTGTGTGTGTGTGCGTGCGTGCGTGTGTGTGTGTGTGTTGACGGAGTTTTGCTCTTGTTGCCCAGGCTGGAGTGCAGTGACGTGATCTCGGCTCGTCGCAACCTCTGCCTCCCGGGTTCAAGTGATTCTTCTGTTTCAGCCTCCTGAGTAGCTGAGATTACAGGCACCCGCCACCATGCCTGACTAATTTTGTAGTTTTAGTAGAGACAGGGTTTCACCATGTTGGTCAGGCTGGTCGCGAACTCCTGACCTCAGGTTATCCACCGGCCTCGGCCTCCCAAAGTGCTGGGATTACAGACATGAGACACCCAGCACCCTTCAGGTTTTCAGCCCTTTGCCAAAGGTACAACCCTTTGGTCTAAGGGTACAACCCTTTGTAATGGTCCAAACAAATCTGCTCTCTAATTCACTTTTTGTCATACCCAGCATAGCACTGTGTTCAGGAAAGAATCTGAAAGGAGCTCTTTTTGAGGAGGTGGGGGGAGAGAAAGAGGCTAAAGATTTGGCTAGGTGGGCAGTACAGTCCCAGCCTGCTGTGCGTCAGTCGAGAGCAGGTACACAGAATAATTCCTTCTTCCAGAGGTGGGTCACAGTCCTGGGAATGCCTCACACATATTAGAGTTGAGAAAGAGAGGAGGCTGATAAAGCAGGAGACTGTCCTGCCTCGGAACCCCCATTCCCTCTTTGTGTTTCAGATCAGTACCCGCCCTCCATCAATGGTGGTCGTGTGATTGAAGCCTACAAGGGGCAGACCACGCTGATTCAGTACACCAGCAATGCTGAGGATGCCAACTTCACGCTCAGAGACAGCTGCACCGACTTGGAGCTCTTTGGTAGGACTATTTGGCTGGCTGGGGAGAGTGGGGAGGTGGGTAGGGGATGAGGTCAGAGTCAAATTTGGGAAATTCTGCATTGCTACACCCAGCAACACTTGCTGTCACTCTTTCATTTGAATATCCAGGACCGGCATTTCCGAGGAGCGATATCTATAACTCAAATAGGTGCCCCCCAGTAAGTAGTAGTGACGGGCTTACGGCGGTTTGGCCAGATAGCTAGAGTGACTCTGGGCACATAGAACTGATTCAAGGCTGGGCGTGGTGGCTCATGCCTGTCATCCCAGCGCTTTGGGAGGCCGAGGTGGGCGGATCATCTGAGGTCAGGAGTTCGAGACCAGTCTGGCCAACATGGTGAAACCCCGTCTGTACTAAAAATACAAAAAAAAAAAAAAGCCAGGCATGGTGGTGCATGCCTGTAATCCCAGCTACTCAGGAGACTGAGGCAGGAGAATCGCTTGAACCCAGGAGGCAGATGTTGCAGTGAGCTGAGATCGCGTCACTGCACTCCAGCCTGGTGACAGAGCGAGACTCTGTCTCAAAAAAAAAAAAAAAAAAAAGATTCAAAGATCATTTAATCTCAATCTGATCATATATAGTCATCTTTAGTCATTATGCATTCACCAAATTATTAGAATAATCAAGTGCAACATTTAAAATGACCAATTTACAACATTTTTATATCTATTAAAGGAAGGCTCTAATGTAGGACAAGATTTAAAGAAATATGAAAAATACTTTCGTTTGGTACCTTTCTTGCTCTTTTTGTCTGGTAACCATGTTTACCTAGCCGTGTCTCTCCTTGTCTGGTTTCCTGGGCTAGGACCCAGTAGAGTGCCATCGCTCCCTCTCCGTAAAGGTGTTAGAGACCCCGAGCCCTACATCCATGATCAGGGCCAAAGGCTCCAAGCACAAGGGACGCTGCTTTCGTCTGTTGCCAGCACTAATTCAAAGGGTCCAAGGGCATCAAAGGGATGCCACTTTCTGTCTGTTGCCAGCACTAATTCTGAGGGTGACTGTTCTTGGCTAAACCAAAGCCCCGGGGGGCATATTTTGCGTTCTCTTTGCCTCTCTGCCTGATGTTCTTTTTCTCCGTGTCTCAGAAGGGACTGCTTTGCCTGCATCCCTTTTGCCCCACGTGCGTCCTCCCAGGTGCGAGACAATGGCACTGAGAGGTTTTCTTCTCCACGGGCCCCACCCCTGAAGGACGATGGTCTGGAAATTACGTTCGTCTATTCTCTGTCACTTCCTTTCAATCTGCTGTTTTAAGGAGACTTTCCTATTTTCTTGAAAAATATCAGTTTGATCTGAAGATATGTAGTAGTGTTTCACTACAGTCTGGTGTCTGAAGGGGGTGTCTGGGAAAGGTCCAGGAAGTGGGGGGTGGGTGAGAAATCAGGGCAAAGGATGGGGCTGCCGTGAGAGTGAAGCCAGTTTGGCCGGCAGCGCAGCCTGGGGAGGTGTCTGGAGGATCCTGGCCTTGATCCTCCATCCCCCAGGATGTCCCATCCTGGTGTGAGCCCAGCCAGGGCTGCCCTTTGGGGTTTCTTCAGGAGGAAACTGCTTTCCCCTCTGTGGCGTTCCCCGCTACAATCAGTATGTTGGACTGGTGCCACGTCCTTCCAGCTGGGAGCGTGACCAGGATCACCCCCGATACCAGCCTTGCTCAAAGGAAATGACCAATGAGATTTGTCTGGGGAGGGGGAGGGTGGCCTGAGAGGGGTGGGGGAAGCCCCGTATCAGCAATCAGACCACAGAGCTGAGGAGTCTCCCAGCTCTCAACATTCTCATCTTCCCCGGGGCAGAGAATGGGACGTTGCTGTGGACACCCAAGTCGCTGGAGCCATTCACTCTGGAGATTCTAGCAAGAAGTGCCAAGATTGGCTTGGCATCTGCACTCCAGCCCAGGACTGTGGTCTGCCATTGCAATGCAGAGAGCCAGTGTTTGTACAATCAGACCAGCAGGGTGGGCAACTCCTCCCTGGAGGTGAGTGTTGGGAGGTGGGGGAGGAGTTTCTGTGCCGAGGGGAGAGGAAATGGGAGTGGAATGGATGCTGTGATTCTGCCTGTCCTGGGTGTGTCTGTGTTGGGAGATGGGTGGAGCAGTGGTAGGTGAGTAGAGCAGATTCCAGTCTCAGGCCACAAACTCACATGGGAAGAAAGAGAACTTTCTGGCCGGGTGCAGTGGCTCACGCCTTTAATCTCAGCACTTTTGGAGGCTGAGGCAAGCGGATCACAAGGTCAGGAGATCGAGACCATCCTGACCAACATGGTGAAACCCCATCTCTACTAAAAATACAAAAATTAGCTGGGCGTGGTGGCAGGCGCCTGTAGTCCCAGCTACTCGGGAGGCTGCGGCAGGAAAATCGCTTGCACCCGGGAGGTGGAGGTTACAGTGAGCCAAGATTGCGCCATTGTACTCCAGCCTGGGCAACAGAGTGAGACTCTATGTCAAAAAGAAAGAAAAGAAAAGAAAAGAAAAGAAAGAAAGAAGGAGGGAAAGAAAGGAAAGGAAAGAAAGGAAAGGAAAGAAAGGGAAAGGAGAAAAAGAAAGAAAGAAAGAAACTATATTGGAGAAAAAGAAGGACGAAAGAAAAAGGAAGGAAGGAAGGAAAGAGGAAAGAACCTTACTTTATTGCTTATAGTTCAACTGGATTTTTATCTCCCACCTCCCCTTCTGCCAGGTTGGCAAGAAACTTCCACCTCCGTCTTTCTCACAGCGCCCCACAGCTCTGCGGCGAAGCCCAGCAGAGGGCCCTGCGGTGTGGGGTGGAAGGTGGTTGTGGGTCCCTGGGCGTGAGTCCACACAGGTTTCCATCACAGCTCCGCCCCACTTCCCCTTCAGACCCAGGGAGAGGCTCTGCTGCTTCTGTGCCTTGCTCAGACACAGGACACCTTTTCTGAGGCCGCTTACAGTCCCGTCTGCCTAGAAGCACCCCACAGTCATTTCTCCCTAGGATGTCATCATCACGGTGCTGGGAAGAGAGCTGCGGGTCCCTCTATCTTGACACCTCCAAGCCCCTTTGCTTTCTCTTTTACTATCTCCTTCCAGCTAAAAGAAACATCTTTTCCAGTTTGGAGAAACTACTTCTCCATGTTTCTAGCCAAGATACTTGGCCTAATTCCACGACTCTTGTCCTATCTGCTTTTTTATTTTTATTTTTGGTTGTAAAGGAAGAGCCAGAAAGGAAAGTGTTTATCTGGCAACACAAAACTACCTCCTTCACCACTTACACACACACGCATGCACACGCACACACAGACACACACACACATCCTTCTGAAGCATGAGCAGAGAATGGGTACTCGAAAGGGATAGAGGTAGGGACGGTTGGTGGGGTAGGGGGTAGAAAAGCATAAAATACACAATGGGAAAAAGAGATTGAAATCAATATACTATTCCACAGATCCCCAAATATCCACTCTTGGGAGTAGCAAGTGTTAGAGGATTCCATTTTAGGGAGATTCCCCGAGTCGCTTCAGTAAGGGAGTTAGAAAGGGGAGCGCAGGGAGCTTGGTGAGGTCTCGGCGCCGCAGCCTTTGCTGAGCTGCTGTACTGGCTGCTGTGTTTTCTCACAGTGCTCAGCAGGGAGGCTCTGTCTTCTTGGTTTGGGAGTCAGCAAGGGAGGTCAATTTCAGCTTATATGAAATCCAGTTTGCAGGCCACATAGGAGCCTGAGGCAGGCGGATTGCTTGAGCTCAGGACTTTGAGACCAGCCTGGGCAATATGGCAAGACCCTGTCTCTACTAAAAATCAAAAAATTAGCTGGGCGTGGTGGCATATGCCTGTAATCTCAAGTATTTGGGAGGCTGAGGCACAAGAATTGCTTTAACTTGGGAGGGGGACATTGCAGTGAGCCGAGATCGAGACACTGCACTGCAGCGTGGGAAACAGAACGAGACTGTCTCATTAAAAAAAAAAGCAGAAGAAAAATACAAAAATTAGTGGGCGTGGTGGTGCATGCCTGTAGCCCCAGCTCCTCGGGAGGCTGAGGTGGGAGGATGGCTTGAACCTGGGAGGTGGAGTTTGCAGTGAGCCAAGATCAAGACATTGCACTCCAGCCTGGGCAACCGAGTGGGACCCTGTCTCAAAATAAATAAGGAATCCAGTTTTCAAGCAATAGGACATACATGGATACATACACACATGGATACATACACACATGGATACATACACACATGGATACACACATATGGATACATACATGGATACATGCATACATGCATGGATACACATACATACATGGATACATACATCAATACATATCTACATGGATACATACATGATACATACACACATGGATACATACATGCATACATGCATGGATACACACATACATACATGGATAAATACATACATGGATACATACATCTATACATGGATACATTCATTCATTCATTCATGCTTCAATCATTCATGCATCCCCCATCTTACTCTAGAAAGGATTTCAGGCAAAGAGCTAGAGTGTGAGAGGGAAGAGGCTGAGATCCTGGTGCAGGGCCAGGCAGGGGGTCAGGGTAAACAATGACCCAGGGAGGCCAACTGGGCAGGACTACCGTGTGGCTTTAGGCAGGGCCTTGCCGCCCCACGGCCTGGTCAAGAAGGTGCTCAGCAGGTGCTGGTGGGGCTGAGACATGACTCAGGGTCCACGGGTTCTCAGGCCAAAGGGGTCAGTCAGAAACACCCAGAAGCCCTTCCCAGTTTGGTCTCCTGGCCGCCCGTGATCGGCAACCCTCCTCCAGGTGGCTGGCTGCAAGTGTGACGGGGGCACCTTCGGCCGCTACTGCGAGGGCTCCGAGGATGCCTGTGAGGAGCCGTGCTTCCCGAGTGTCCACTGCGTTCCTGGGAAGGGCTGCGAGGCCTGCCCTCCAAACCTGACTGGGGATGGGCGGCACTGTGCGGGTGAGCCGGGAACAGGGCCTGGAGCAGGCGCTTCTGGGAGCAGCTGATAGCTCAAGGGTGTAGACAGCCAAAGGCAAACCATTTCTCTCCTTTTTCCAGCAGATCTTTAGAATGCTCAATCTAGGCAGGTGTGGGAAATCTAGGCAGGTGTGGGAAATCATCTAGGCAGGTATGGGAAATCTAGGCAGGCCTGGAAAGGGGGTGGTGGATGGTGTGGGGCTGAAGGAGAAGAGGTTGTACAGGCATAGGGGAGGGGACGGGGCTGGGCATCCCTGAGGCATTGATGGGGGGAGCCCCGGGCGAAAGACTGAAGATGGTTTGGGGAGGAGACTTCAGCAGCCGCCAGAGAACCGGGCAAGCTGGGTCCTCGGGATCCCTGGGGATCTTCAGAGACACGAGGCTCAGGATCTCTGCATCTCACGAGTCAGGACGTTTGGAGGGGCTGGCGTGGGGATCCGGCAGCAAAGGTGCCTGATTTTCCCTTTGAGTCCTCCCAGCCATCTGTTCCTCCCGCTCTGAGTCACCAGAGTCTGATGAGGGAGATCACAGCGAGGCCTTTACCAAGCCCCCTAAGGCACCCAAATAAAATCTACAGATCACTGTGCCTTCAGAGCCGAGGCCAGAGTGGGTAGAACCGCAGCTTTTATAAAGGCAGAAAAGGAGATGGACGTGAGAGGGGAGGGCGTGAGGAAAGCCAGCTGGGGGCCCCTCCTCTGCCAGCCTTCGGGGTCCTTTCTGAAGCAGAGGGTCTGAGAAACACTCCAGTCCCTCCACAAAAGCGGAAGAATACCTGTCTGGCCGGGGAAAGGGGTTGCCCTGCAGAGAAACGCCTGGAAAAGGGGGGAAGGATGGTTTGGGGTTCCGAGTGGCCCGAAGTGGAACACTGGGGGAAAGCAAGCCTGTCCCGGAGCGGGTTTCCACGGGCTGGGCCGTCCCTCTGCTGCCCTGCGCGCTGCTGCTGACCTCCCTACTCACTCTGCAGCTCTGGGGAGCTCTTTCCTGTGTCAGAACCAGTCCTGCCCTGTGAATTACTGCTACAATCAAGGCCACTGCTACATCTCCCAGACTCTGGGCTGTCAGCCCATGTGCACCTGCCCCCCAGCCTTCACTGACAGCCGCTGCTTCCTGGCTGGGAACAACTTCAGTCCAACTGTCAACCTAGGTACCGCCAGAGACCCCGCCCTCTCACCCCCGCACTCTTCCTGGGCCCCACCCTCTCACCCCCGCACTCCGCCCACCTTTGGGGAAGATGAGGAAGCTCTGGGGTCACAGGACAGAGCTCCAGATTTCTCTGGGATGGTGTAAGGTGCGGGCTATGGGAGCTGGCGAGGCAAGCTGTCACGGCAAGGACCACGGGCCTGTGTGGCCTATGGAGGAAGGACGGAGGCAGAGACCTCACAGCTGGCTCAGTGAGATGAGCGCTGGGGAGGCCCGGAGCATAGTGGAGTGAGCCCTAGCGTGAGGGCCACTTCTCCCGGTTTCTTCAGCAACCTTCTGTCACTGTGGAATGTAGGGTGAGGGCCACTTCTCCCGGTTTGCTCAGCGACCTTCTGTCACTGTGGAATGTAGGGTGAGGGCCACTTCTCCCGGTTTCTTCAGCGACCTTCTGTCACTGTGGAATGTAGGGTGAGGGCCACTTCTCCCGGTTTCTTCAGTGACCTTCTGTCACTGGAATGGAGCAGTCAACTTGGGCTGGCCCGACAGACTTTTTGGGTAAGTCTGGGTAAACCGTGGGGTGATGATACATTTGCTTCTCCCATCTCCAGAACTTCCCTTAAGAGTCATCCAGCTCTTGCTCAGTGAAGAGGAAAATGCCTCCATGGCAGAGGTCAACGCCTCGGTCAGTACTGCAGGCCGCGCTCTGGGTGGGAGGGGGCGCTTGGCGGGTTCAGGCCAGGGCGGAACCATCGCTGTGCGGCCTTCATCTTGTCATCCATCTGGATTCAACTGCCAGAGGAGGCCGGAGCCTCTTGCCCCATGGGAGGTGCAGGGCATTAGGAAGTGAGGAAGGCCCAAGACAGAAACCTCGACTCATCATAAGCAGAGGCCAGGGTGCCAAGTCACCCCAGCCGAGACCTCTAAGCATCTTGGTTATGATCTGAAAGAAACTAAAGGACATTTCACCTCCCGGGAGTCTTCCCTGACTTCCCAGAGGGAACGGGCGGCTCCCTCTTCTTGGCTGCCATGCCATACCTCAGTCACAGGCAAAGTGGCACAACTGCCGAGTGGTTGGGGCTGTAGAATCCTGCACACCCAGAATCAGAATCCCTGCTCTGCCCCTCACTAGAGCAGGTGTGCTAACTAGACACATCATATAACAGGTCATCTGTAAACACAGGGACAATCATAGCACCTGAGTCAACAGGCCGTATCACCGTTTAAATGATAATGCGTGTCAAGCATTTAGTCCAGTGCCTGACACACAAGTATTCAAACATGATGACTGCTATTATCACTACTGCAAGCCTAGCACTCCCCACTCCACACTCCACACGGTAAAATCTGTTGACATTTGTCACCTGCGCCAGACAATGCACTCTTTGAGTTTAGACTCCACCTAAGTCACCTTGACACCCCCAGCCCCGACCATCTCCTAGGTCTAAACAACCCATGTTCAATATACTGGGGAGGAGGTCATGAGTCATGTGTCAGAGGCAAGGTAGGGGCCATTCATGTCAGATTCTCTGCTCGTCATATGAGGCTGAGGGGGGGACAGAATGGAAAACCCTTCACTCTCAACAAACATTATTAAGCAAGGACCCATGACACTCACTGAGCTAGGCTAGAGTGCAAGGGTGCAGAGACAGGTGAGGAAGGTGCTGGGGTCCTGGGGCTCCCGTTCCAGGAGGAAACAGGGATGAATACACCCATCAAGGTGGGAGGGCGTCTCCCCCCCGGATGGGGCCTCACCCCCACCCCCATCTGCCATCCTCTAACCTAGGTGGCATACAGACTGGGGACCCTGGACATGCGGGCCTTTCTCCGCAACAGCCAAGTGGAACGAATGTAAGTGGGACTGTGTCCCCCTAAGCCCCCAGATCTCTTCCTCATCCCCCACCCCCAGCCCCCCAGCCCCCCTCACCGTTGCCCTCCCACACAGCGATTCTGCAGCACCGGCCTCGGGAAGCCCCATCCAACACTGGATGGTCATCTCGGAGTTCCAGTACCGCCCTCGGGGCCCGGTCATTGACTTCCTGAACAACCAGCTGCTGGCCGCGGTGGTGGAGGCGTTCTTATACCACGTTCCACGGAGGAGTGAGGAGCCCAGGAACGACGTGGTCTTCCAGCCCATCTCCGGGGAAGACGTGCGCGATGTGACAGCCCGTGAGTCCGTCCATTCCGGGGACACTATGGGGGTCACTGCGGGGTGTGGGCAAACAGAGGTGCTTCAGCCCACACAAACAAGCTAATTGAGTTTTTCTGTTTGTTTGGTTTTGAGCGAAAACGTGAACATTTTGTCCAGCTGCTTTTTAGATTCGAGAGCAGGAGCAGCCAGCGCTGCTGAGGCAGTCACACGTATACAGCTTCACGGAGCAAGCACCCAGCCAGGGCCTTGCTGACTGTGGCTGCTAATAAAACAGCAGCAATTTAGTTTCATAAAATTGCTAATAGTTTTCTTAAAATGCCATTGCACTTAAGCATACACAGGGACACCCCCATCGTCTCTGCTCTCCAGTGGGAGGATATGAAGCTGGAGACTGGAGACTGGCCAGGGACAGAGGCAACTACTCCCTGAAATGGTGTCACCCTGTGCAAGCACCTTCCCCAGGCCAGGCCAGGCCTCAACACCCCCCAGCACCTTCCCCAGGCCAGGCCTCAACACCCCCCAGCACCTTCCCCAGGCCAGGCCTCAACACCCCCCAGCACCTCCCCGAGGCCAGGCCTCAACACTCCCCAAGCACCTTCCCCAGGCCAGGCCTCAGCACCCCCATCTGAAAATGAGATGGGATTTCTGAGCCCCCTTTCAGTGCTGACAGCCCCCGGTTTTCCCGGAACAGGAATAAGTTGGCAAGCTTGTCAGAGAAACAAAGGAATAACACGTCCTATTTTCTGTATAGGGCAGAGAACAGGGCAGGGGCCGCCCCAAACACAACAGGAACTGCTGTTTTACTTGGGTCTGGGACCAAGCAAGAGCTTCTCCCAGAATCCAGGCTAAGCCCGCTCTCTCCCGGAGCAGGGGGTGAAATCCCTCAGAACTACTGTATGTTGGGGAGTTGGGGTAGGAGGCGCAGGGAGGCAAGCCCTGACTATGCAATTAAGGAAAACCTATAATTTTTATTATACAAGCATCGTATGTTTATTGCAGAAACTTTAGGAAACACAAACTTAACAAAAAGAAAAGAGGAAAAAAACCCTGTAATCCCAATCCCCAGAGAGACAACAGTATTTCCTACATATCCTTCTGAACTTTCTTTTATGCCTAGGAACCTTCAGACATCCATTTTTTACTGAAGGATCAAATCATTCCTAATGTTGGAAAACCTCCTCATTAAACAGTTGTGAACAGGTTGTCTCATATATTCTGTCCACATTCCCATTTGACATATTATGATGGTATGTTTGAATATAGTGTCATATTTTAAAATACATTATAATAATCATTACCATTGTTTGAGTGCTTACTGTGTGTCCGGCACTGTACTGAGTACTGTGGACACATTATCTCATTTAAATCTCACAGCAGCATAAGTGCTATTATGATCATTTCCTTTTAAAGATAAGGAAACTGAAGCTGAAAGAGTGAAGGAATGTTCCCTGAATTACACATCTAGTCACTAGCAGAGTTTCAGTTTCCACCCAAGTCTGGCCACCTTCAAAGCATGTGCTCTTCAGGAAAGCATTTTCCATAGGAACCTTTTTCCACAGGAACCTTTTTCCCTAGGAACCTTTTTCCCTAGGAAACTTTTTCCATAGGAAGCACCATCCCTTGGTAAGGATGTGCAGTAGTTTATTTAACCAGACCCTACTTCTGAAACGTTACTATTATCCACCACGCTGATCTGAACGTCCAGGGGCATATGTATCTGTGCACTTCTCCAATTATTTCTCAGGATAAACACCCGAAAAGGAATTCGTGGCTGAAAAGGTACTGATTTAGTGTTCATCGGTTGCTTTCTGTGTTAATCTGTGTCCTTCCCGACAGTGAACGTGAGCACGCTGAAGGCTTACTTCAGATGCGATGGCTACAAGGGCTACGACCTGGTCTACAGCCCCCAGAGCGGCTTCACCTGCGTGTCCCCGTGCAGTAGGGGCTACTGTGACCATGGAGGCCAGTGCCAGCACCTGCCCAGTGGGCCCCGCTGCAGGTGCATAGGGCTGTGGCCAGGAGGTGGAGGACAGTGCTGGGGAACCCAAGCTGGGCAAGACACTGCAAGGGGTCCAGGAATTAGGATGGCTCGAGAGATCAGAGACCAGGGAAGAGAGGACAGTGGAAAAGGAGAGTTGTGAGTGCCTGCTCTGTGTGGAGAATAAAGGCGCTATATTACAAACTCTGAAACCCAAAAGAGCCATAGGGGGGCTTAGAACTATTTCGAAGATGAGAAAACTGCAGCTTAGAGATGACAAGGAACCTGCCCCAGGACGCAGTAGGTTAAGCAGCAGGGCATGGTTTCCAAAGCCAAACATTTTTTATATTTTTATGTTTTGAGATGGAGTGTCATTTGTCGCCCAGGCTGGAGTGCAGTGGTGCGTTCTCGGCTCACTGCAACGTCCTTCTCCCGCGTTCAAGCGATTCTCCTGCCTCAGCCTCCCGAGTAGTTGGGACTACAGGCATGCACCACCACGCCCAGCTGATTTTTGCATTTTTAGTAGAGACGGGGTTTCGCCATGTTGGTCAGGCTGGTCTCGAACTCCTGACCTCAGGTGATCCGTCCACCTTGGCCTCCCAAAGTGCTGAGATTACAGGCGTGAGCCACCGCGCCAGGGCCCAAAGTCAAACCCTCCCACCTGATCTGGCTGCTGCTTCCCTGCTGTCTCCTTGTGGGAAAAGAACCTGCAGTCCTGTGTCTAGGCCAGTCCTGCCCCTCAGTCAAGCGAGGCGCCTTTGCCCCTGCCCTCATCAGCAGTCCCCGGGGCTCCGCTGGTTAACAGCGCAGGAAGCCGCGGCCCCACGCAGACCTGGGCTCCGGGCCCTCCGCCAGCTGCAGTTCCAGATCCCGCCGAAGGAGGGGGCGGGCGGAGCGCGGGTGGGGCGGGGCCCGGCTCTCCGGGTGGGCGGGGCGGGGCGGGGCCGGGCTGGGGCGGGGGTGTGACTGCGCATGCCCACCTGTGGCCGGCATCCCTGCCGCCCAGGTGCAGCTGACTGCACGTGCAGCTGAATTCACACCAGGTTTTTGTTTTTGTTTTTTGAGACGGAGTCTTGCTCTGTCCCCCAGGCTGGAGTGCAGTGTTGCAATCTCGGCTCACTGCAACCTCCACCTCCCAGGTTCAAGCGATTCTGCCTCAGCCTCCTGAGTAGCTGGGATTACAGGTGCGCACCACCACGCCTGGCTAATTTTGTATTTTTAGTAGAGATGGGGTTTCACCGTGTTGGCCAGTCTGGTCTCGAACCCCTGACCTCAAGTGATGCGCCCGCCTCAGCCTCTCAATGTGCTGGGATTACAGGCGTGAGCCCCCGCGCCGGCCCAGGCCCATGTTTTTAAAGCCCACACCTGCCTCCTTTGCCCAGTGGTCTCACTTCAGCACGGCCTCAGGGCTGACTCAGTCTCTCCGGAGAGTGGGGCGAGCCCAGCCTCTCCTACAGAACCTCTTCTTCCCCAGCAGAAGAGGAGGGGCTGGGAGGCTGAGCTCCCGCCTCTGACCGCCTGTCTGTCTCTCTTGGTCACCAGCTGTGTGTCCTTCTCCATCTACACGGCCTGGGGCGAGCACTGTGAGCACCTGAGCATGAAACTCGACGCGTTCTTCGGCATCTTCTTTGGGGCCCTGGGCGGCCTCTTGCTGCTGGGGGTCGGGACGTTCGTGGTCCTGCGCTTCTGGGGTTGCTCCGGGGCCAGGTTCTCCTATTTCCTGAACTCAGCTGAGGCCTTGCCTTGAAGGGGCAGCTGTGGCCTAGGCTACCTCAAGACTCACCTCATCCTTACCGCACATTTAAGGCGCCATTGCTTTTGGGAGACTGGAAAAGGGAAGGTGACTGAAGGCTGTCAGGATTCTTCAAGGAGAATGAATACTGGGAATCAAGACAAGACTATACCTTATCCATAGGCGCAGGTGCACAGGGGGAGGCCATAAAGATCAAACATGCATGGATGGGTCCTCACGCAGACACACCCACAGAAGGACACTAGCCTGTGCACGCGCGCGTGCACACACACACACACACAAGAGTTCATAATGTGGTGATGGCCCTAAGTTAAGCAAAATGCTTCTGCACACAAAACTCTCTGGTTTACTTCAAATTAACTCTATTTAAATAAAGTCTCTCTGACTTTTTGTGTCTTCAAAACCAGGAATTCCATTCCTGATTTTCTTCTGGTGGCCGAAGGGCTGGACACAGACTTCTCCCAACCATCAGAGGGCACAGAGTGTGGAGGTTAAGTGCTGGGCAGCAGTGGAGCATTAGGGGCAGCTGGATCCAGTCCTAATCAGCCCCGTTACCCATGCTGGAAACCCTCAGTTGCTCCACCCCAACCTTGCTTCATGCTCCACATCACCTTCTTCTTCCCCCACCCCAGCACAGGCCAAAGCTTCGCCCGCTAAGGAGGAGAGCGAAAGAGATACCCCAAGATGGAGTGCCCCAGACTCTCTCCCAGGACCCCTCCCTGCCTGCCTGTCCATCAGTTTCACAAAAGTTGTAAAAGGATCAATGCACAGTGTGTTTACCTGTCTGGTGGCTGTCCCCACCGCCTGCGTTTCATGGAAGAGCGATTAAACCATTTCAGCTCCCTTTCCAGGAACCAACTCAAGAAACATGCCACCACCCCACCCTTAGATCTGGAGGGCCCGACCCCTCATATACCCTCTCTGTCCTTTCCCGGACCCCAGATGGAGTCTTCTGAGGTTCTCCATCCCACAGCCCTTCACCTCTACCCTGCCTCCACTTGCCCCAGCAACCTGATCAGCTTCCACAGAATCCTCTCAGCAGGCGGGACTTTTACACCTATCTGGTGTAATAACTCCAACACAATTGGTCCACAATTCCTGTGTCTAGAAAATCTCAATTCCAACTTTATGCAGAAACTAGGTAGCTGCCTCTTAGTTCTAAATCCCAAATCCCTGAAGAGAGAATCTGACTGGTCCAATTTACATCAGTTGTTTATGCCTGGTCCAATAAAATGTAGTCATGGGGTCAGAAAGGAGGTCACATGGTGCAAAGCAGGTGTTCAAGCTCATTCTTGCGGGTGGGTAAGTGCTGTTGAAGGAAGCTCCCAAAGGAATATCTTTGGTTGGGCACGGTGGCTCACGCCTGTAATCCCAACATTTTGGGAGGCCAAGGCGGGCAGATCACTTGAGGCCAGGAGTTTGAGACCAGCCTGGCCAACATAGTGAAACCCTGTCTCTACTAAAATACAAAAATTCGCTGGGCGTGGTGGCACACGCCTATAATCCCAGCTACTCAGGAGGCTGAGGCAGGAGAATCTCTTGAACCCAGGAGGCGGAGGTTGCAGTGAGCTGAGATTGTGCCACTGCACTCCAGCCTGGGCAACAGAGCAAGACTCTGTCTCAAAAAAAAAAAAAAAAAAAAATATATATATATATATATATAAAGAATATATATATAATCTTTGTATTAGGGTTCCCTAGAGGGTCAGGACTAATAGGATAGATGTATATATAAAGGGGAGTTTATGAAGGAGTATCGACTCACACGATCACAAAGTGAGGTCCACAATAGGCTGTCTGCAAGCTGAGAAGCAGGGAAGCTAGTCTGAATCCCAAGATCTCAAAAGTAGGGAAGCCGACAGTGTAACCTTAAGTCTGTGGCAGAAGGCCCAAGAGCCCCTGACAAACCACCAGTGTAAGTCCAAGAGTCCAAAAGCTGAAGAACTGGAAGTCCGATGTTTGAGGGCAGGAAGCATCCAGCACGGGAGAAAGATGAAGGCTGGAAGACTTAGCCAGTGTAATCCTTCCACATTCCTCTGCCTGCTTTATTCTGGCTATGCTGGCAGCTGATTAGATTGTGTCCACCCAGACTGAGAGTGAGCCTGCCTCTCCCAGTCCACTGATTCAAATATTAGTCTCCATTGCCAACACCCTCACAGAGAGACACCCAGGAACAATACGTTGCATCCTTCAGTCCAATCAAGTTGACACTCAATATTAACCTTCACAGTCTTTGATCTGAGCAGACTCCAAACTTACATGGAGAATGACTTCTCCCAATAGGTGAAGCCACTCTCCTACATACAAAGCTGTAGCTTTACCCTCATATGCCCCAAAGTGGAATGTAATGAAGTCTCCATACAAAACTGCAGTCACAGCATTCATTTATCAAGAAGCAAGCACACAGCACAGATGAGTTCGCTGGTGAATTTTAGCAGATATTTAAGGGGAAATAATACCTATTTTCTGCAATCTTTTCCAGAAGATAGAAGCAGGAGGAATACTTCCTAAGTCATTTGTCACTGTCACCCTAATGCCAAAACGGGACAAAGACATTACAAGACGACTATAGACCAATATATCTCACATAGATGCAAAAATTACCAACAAAATATTAGCAAATACAGTTCAACAATATGTAAAAAGAATTATAGGCCATGACCAACAGAGATTTATCCCAGGTATGCAAGACTGGTTCAATATTCAAAAATCAGCTAATGCAATCCGTTACATCAACAGGCTAGAGAAGAAAAATCACATGATCGGCCAGGCATGGTGGCTCACGTCTGTAATCCCAGCACTTTGGGAGGCCGAGGCAGGCGGATCACGAGTTCAGGAGATCGAGACCATCCTGGCTAACACGGTGAAACCCCATCTCTACTAAAAACACAAAAAATTAGCTGGGCGTGGTGGTGGGCGCCTGTAGTCCCAGCTGCTTGGGAGGCTGAGGCAGGAGAATGGTGTGAACCCAGGAGGCGGAGATTGCAGTGAGCCGAGATCACACCACTGCACTCCAGCCTGGGTGACAGAGTGAGACTCTGTCTCAAAAAATAAATAAATAAATAAATAAATAAATAAATAAATAAAAGAATATCTACAAAAACCTACAGCTAACATCATCCTTAACGGTGAGAAATTAGATGCTTTCCCCTAAGATTAGTAACAAGGCAAGAACGTCCCCTCTCACCATCGATTCTCAACATCCTGCTGGAGGTCTTGGCCAATGCAACTAGACACAAAAGGGAAATAAAAGGTATACAGAATAAAAAGGAAGAAACAAAACTGCTTTGTTCACAGATGACACAATCATCTATGTTAAAAAATCTAAGAGTTGACAAAAGGAAAAAACCCCAGAACAAAGAAGCAATTTCAGACAAGTTTCATGATATAAGGTTAGTGTCCTAACGTCAACAGCTTTCGTGTGTGCCAGCAAAGAACAATTGGAATTTAGAATTAAAAATATTTGAGCAAGACAGGAAACAAAAAAAGAAAAATGAATAATAAAATTAAATACATATGACCATTTACATTAGCATCCCCCAAAATGAAATACTGAGGTGTAAATGTAACAAAATATGTACAAGATCTATATGAGAAAAACTATAAAACTCTGATGAAAGATATCAAAGAACTTCATAAATGGGATGACATTCTATGTTTATGAACAGGAAGACTCTTTTTTTTTTTTTTTTTTGAGATGGAGTCTCCCTCTGTCACCCAGGCTGGAGTGCAGTGGCACCATCTCAGCTCACTGCAACCTCAGCCTCCCGGGTTCAAGCAATTCTCTTGCCTCAGCCTCATGAGTAGCTGGGATTACAGGCACACACCACCACGCCTGGCTAATTTTTTTTTGTATTTTTAGTAGAGATAGGGTTTCGGCATTTTGGCCAGGCTGATCTCAAACTCCTGACCTCAGGTGATCCACCCTCCTCGGCATCCCAAAGTGCTGGGATTATAGGTGTGCGCCAGCACAACAGGCCAGAAGACTCAATATTATTAAGATAGCAGTTCTCAATATTATCAAGATAGCAGCAGATCAAGATAGCCAACTTGATCTACAGATTCTACATAATGACACAATCTTAATCAAAATCCCAGGAAGTTATTTGTAGATATGGATAAACTGGCTCTAAAGTTTATGTGGAGAGGCAAAAGATCCAAAATAGCCAAATCAATATTGATGGAGAATGGTCAGAGGACTGATACCACCTGACTTCAAGGCTTACTCTAAAGCTATAGTCATGAAAGCAGCATGATACTGGCAAAAGAATAGACAAATAGATCAATGGAACAGAATAGAGAGCCCAGAATATTAAAAGTAATATTTCTAATAGACCTGTATAAATGTGTCAACTGATCTTTGACAAAGCAGCAGAGGCCACACAATGGAGCAGAGATAGTGTTTTCAATAAATGACGCTGGGACAACCGGACATCCACAAGCAAAAAAAAAAAAAAAAAAAAAAAAAAAAAAAAAAAAATCTAGACACAGACCTTATACCTTTCATAAAAACTCAAAATGAATCATAAACCTCAATAAAATGCAAAACTGTAAGACTCCCAGAAGATAATATAGGAGAAAATCTAAATGACCTTGAGTATGGTGATGACATTTTAGATACAATAGCAAGGGCATGATCCATGAAGGAAATAATTGATGAGCTGAACTTCATTAACATTAAAAACTTCTTCTCTGTGAAAGGCAATGGCAAGAGAATGAAAATATTTGCAAAAGTCCCATCTGATTAAAGACTTTTATCTAAAATATACAAAGAGCCGGGTGCACTGGCTCAGACCTGAAATCCCAGCACTTTGGGAGGCTGAGGTAAGCGGATCAATTGAGGTCAGGCGTTGGAGACCAGCCTGGCCAACATGGTGAAACCCTGTCTCTACTAAAAATACAAAAATTAGCTGGGTGTGGTGGCGGGCGCCATTACTACTACCAGTAGTAGTAATCCCAGCTACTCGGGAGGCTGAGGCAGGATAATCACTTGAACCCAGGAGGCGGAGATTGCAGTGAACTGAGATCGCGCCACTGCACTCCAGCCTGGGCAACAGAGTGAGACTCTGTCTCAAAAAATATTAATTAATTAATTAAATATACAAATAACTCTTACAACTCAACAATAAGAAAATGAACAACCCAGTTTTTTAAATGGGTAAAAAAACTGAACATACATATCACCAAAGAAGACATTCACATGGCACATAAGCATCTACAAAGATGTTCAACATCGTATGTCATTAGGGAACCGCAAACAACGCGAAACCCATGCACACCCGTTAGAATGACCACAATCGCCAGGCATCGTGGCTCACAACTGTACTCAATACACACCTGTTAGAATGACCACAGTCACCAGGCACTGTGGCTCACACCTGTACTCCCAGCACTTTGGGAGGCTGAAGCAGGAGGATCACTGGAGCCCAGGAGTTTGAGACCAGCCTGGGCAACAAAGCAAGATCCCATCTCTACAAAAAATTAAAAAATTATATGGGCACGGTAGCATGTGACTGTGGTCCCAGCTACTCTGGAGGCTGAGATGGCAGGATTGCTTGAGCCCAGGAGGTTGAGGCTGCAGTGAGCCGCGATCCAGCCTTCACTCCAGCCTGAGCAATGGAGTGAGACCCCGTCTCAAAAGAAAAAGAAAAAAAGAATGATCAAAATCCACAGCACTGAAAACTTCAAATGCTGTTCAGGATGTGGAGCAACAGGAACCCTCCTTCATTGCTGGTGGGAAGGCAACATGGTACAACCACTTTGGAAGACAATTTGGCAGTTTCTTTTTTTTTTTTTTTTTTGGAGATGGAGTCTGGCTCTGTCGCCCAGGCTGGAGTGCAGTGGCACGATCTCGGCTCACTGCAAGCTCCGCCTCCCGGGTTCACGCGATTCTCCTGCCTCAGCCTCCTCAGCAGCTGGGACCACAGGCGCCCGCAATTTGGCACTTTCTTACCAAACTAAACCATACTCTTACTATGCAGTCCAGCAATCACACTCCTTGATATTTACCCAAAGGGACAGAAAACGTTTTTGTCCACACGAAAACCTGCACATGGAGGTTTATAGCAGCTTTATTCATAATTTATAGCAGCTTTATTCATAATTGCCAAAACTTGGAAGCAACCAAGATGTCCTTCAGCAGGTGAACGGGTAAATAACCTATGGTGCATTCAGACGATGGAATATTATTCAGTGCTAAAATGAAATGAATTACACAGCCATGAAAATACATACAGAAAACTTAAATGCATATACTATGTGAAAGAAGACAATCTGAAAAGGCTATTTACCTTACGGTTGCAATTATATGACATTCTGGAAAAGGTAAAACTATGGAGACAGTGAAAAGATCAGTGGTTGCCAGGGGTTGGGGATGAATAAGTGAAGCACAGAGGATTTTTAGGGCACTGAAACTACTTATTTTTCTGTATGATGCTACAATGGCAGAAACATTTATGTTATTTTTTGAGATTGAGTCTCACTCTGTCGCCCAGAATGGAGTGCAGTGGTGCGATCTCTGCTCACTGCAACCTCCACCTCCCGGGTTCAAGCGATTCTCCTGCCTCAGCCTTCCATGTAGCTAAGACTACAGGCATGCGCCACCACACCCGGCTAATTTTTGTATTTTTAGTAGAGATGGGTTTTCGCCGTGTTGGCCAGGCTGGTCTCGAACTCCTGATCTCAAAGAGATCCACCCGCCTCCACCTCCCAAAGTGCTGAGATTACAGGCATGAGCCACTGCGCCGGGCCAGCCGATACGTTGTTGAATAGAGAATGGAGAATATCCAACGCCAAAAATGTGCTGTCAACTCTGGACTTTGATGAGGATATGTTGACGTGGACGCATCGACTGTCACACGTGCCACCTGGTGCAGGGCGTTGGTGGTGGGGGAGGCTGGGCGTAGGTATATGTGTGTGTGGCAGGGGGCATATGGGAACTTTCTGTATTTTCCACTCAGGAAAATTTTGCTGTAAACCCAAAACTGCTCTAAAAAGCAAATTTTATTATTTAAAAGATGATTTTAAAATTAATATATTTAAATTTTTAAAAGAATTAAGCACACATGGCACTAACGGGGCGGCTAGGGAGCCAACCATCCATCAGTTGTGAGGAAGGGGGAGGCCTGCAGGCATGAAGGAGCTGGTGAGACCGCCCTCACCTGGCTGCCAGAATCCCAATTCCATGAGGACCTTGTCATGTGACTCAAAGTCAGAGACAGCAGAAGGTCCAAAAGTTACAACTTACCTGAAACCCACCAGGCACTATTGGCAAAGGATTCACCCCCACCATGGAAGGCACGTGAGCGCTGTGGGTGCCCTGTGTCATCAACTGCGGAGAAAGGAAACCAGAAAGAGCAAAAGCAAAGCAGCGAGTGGGGAGCAGAACCGCCCCAAACCCAAGGTCCCTCCTCCCCTGTCCACCTTCACACACTAAGCAATGGAGGGAGCGGGAGGACAGAGCCTGTGTTTGATGGACAGCTCCTCCCGAGGCAGAGGAGAGGCCCAATACCTGGGAGAAGGCTGGGAGCTTGCTACCCCTGAAGGAGACCCGCAGATTGGACGGAAGAGAGGAGCCAGGGACCCTCGTGGGAGAGGATGCATTAAAAGTAGGGCTGTCTGGGCCAGGTGTGGTGGCTCACACCTGTAATCCCAGCACTTTGGGAGGCCGAGGCAGGCAAGTCACCTGAGGTCAGGAGTTCAAGACCAGCCTGACCAACATGGTGAAACCCTGTTTCTACCAAAAATATAACAAATTAGCTGGGCGTGGTGGCGCACACCTGTAATCCCAGCTACTTGGGAGGCTGAGACAGGAGAATCCCTTGAAACCAGGAGGCGGAGCTTGCAGTGAGCCGAGATGGCACCACTGCACTCCAGCCTGGGTGACAGAGTGAGACTGGGTCTCAATAATAATAATAATAATAATAATGAAAGTAGGGCTGTCCAATTTAGCAAATGAAAATACAAGCAGCCCAGCTTAAATTTCAGATTAACCACAAATAATTGTTTTAGTTTAAAGATATCCCATGAACTATTTGGAACATTCTTGTATATTTTTAAGTGTTCACCGTTTATCCGAGGTTCTCATTTAAGTGGCTGTTCTGTGTTTTCTTGGTGAGCCCAGTCAAAGCCGCTGAGGCCCTGACAGCACGGGAGGAGGAGGCGTCCCAAGAAAGGAGAGGGCACCTGGGGACACCCTTCTCTAGCTGGACAGGGAGCTGCCCCTTCACGAGTGGGACAGTCAGAAGGACAAGGACACAACCATCCATTTTCGTCAGCTCATTCCCTGGCTACAAGTGGTCTGGATTCTGTCGCTTTGGCCCCTGGAATAAAATAACTGACTGACCCTTCCCCAGGGTGCCAGGTGTGAGTTTGCTTGGAAGAGAGAAGGGTGCAGACCCCCGACCCCTGCTGGTGGCAGCAGCTGGGACACCTTCAGTGGGCTCGAGAGTGGCAAAAGGAGCTATCTGGGGCAAAGCTTGGCCAAAGACACAGACTCCCTTGCCCATTCTTCCCTGCTTCAAAGGAGCCTTCCAGAAACTCCCCACAGGCCTGAAGTAAGTGGCTTAATGACTGGGATGATGAGTGATAGGTCACTGGCATGATGCACCCCTTTACGCATTTACTGGCACCAGAAAGTGATATGATGGCCACTATTAAAGTGTGGGGCGCACCCACGGAATTCGTTTCCATTCAAATGCTTTGCATACTTTGGTGGCCAATCCCCCTCTCAAGGGATGAAGGCAGGACTGGCTGTGGCAGAAGCTTCAGATGAGGTCTCTGGTCAGAGAAGTTCCACCTCACGTTGTCTTCATCATTGCTGTGGAGTTTCGCCGTCTCAGAGCTCACACCAAGTCACAGGTGACTTTAGACAGGCCATCTTGTTTAGGTCCATGCTTAAATTTGTCTTTATAAAACGTGGCATTTTTACCTCATATACACACACTTTAGAATCTTAAATAGCTGGAGAGTTTTCTCCAGGGACTTCTGGCTCCTGTTAGCTTGGTAACATTACTCCTGCTAACTTTGGTCATCTCCAGTAATACAGGCGTGCACACACACACACACACACACACACAGTCTCTCTTCCTCTTTATTGTCCCCCCCCAACCCACCCACATGCAATCATAATGATACATTTTAGTTCCCAAATGCTTCTAATTTGTGTTGTTCTTGTTGACGTTTTGAGACACGGTCTCGCTCTGTCACCAGGCTGGAGTGCAGTGACGCAATCTCAGCTCACTGCAACCTCCGCCTCCCAGGTTCAAGTGATTCTCCTGCCTCACCCTTTTGAGTAGTTGGGATTACAGGCACCTGCCACTATGCCCAGCTAATTTGTGTATTTTTAGTAGAGACAGGATTTCACCATGTTGCCTGGGTTGGTCTCAAACTCCTGGCCTCAAGTGATCCGCCTGCCTCGGCCTCTCAAAGTGCTGGGATTACAGGCATGAGCCACCGCACCCAGTCTCTAATTTGTGTATCCCATATTTTACAGATTTTTTAAGCTAGTCAAATTTTACAATTTTTTTACTTCCAAAAATAACAGTAATCAGCATCATATGTACATGTCCGTGTCCTCATATGTAGTAATTAAGATTACATGAGCCACTGTATTAAGTATCACCCACTTGAGGAAATACAAAGCAAGAGAAGAAAACCTATTTAAGAATTGGGTTTATATAACAGTGGTGTTGTCATTTTTGTAAACTGCTCTCCATTCATGCCAAATTATAGAGCAGCTTCGGAACAATTATATCATTAAATTTACGTTTTGTGTGATTTCAGTACTGAATGCCCTTTTCTTAACTTTCAGAGCCCACTGAAAGTTTCGGGGCTCACGTGGCCCACCATTGTCCCAGTCACTCAGCAAACACATCAGTGCCCTCATGTGGAGGGCTCCACGCCAGCTTCTGTGATGACAGAGGTGAATACTACCGGCTGCTTGTCCTCGAGCACGTACAATGTAACAAACTTGTAAATAAAATAAGCACATTATAATACAGCATGTTAAGTGTTACAACAGAAACACAAGAGACCAGAAAATCAGCACCTCTGTAGGGAATCTGATGAAGTCATGGAGAGGTGCCATCTGAACTGGGCTTTGAGGAATGAATAGGAGTTTTCCAGGTGAAGGGACCAGGGGGAGGAATCATGATGGGCAGACGCTCCAGATGAAAGCAGGTGTGCCTGGGGTTAGCGAGCTGCTTCCTGTGCAAGCAGCATAGGATATGGAAGATGGGGCCGTGACCTGGAGCTAAGATAGTTGGCTGAGGCCATATCATGAAGACCCTTGCATACGAAGGTGGGGATTCCATCCTGGAGGTAGGAACAGGAGTAGCTTTGATTTGGGAGAGGAAAGCTCTGCAGATGGTGTAAAAGGTAGGTTGGAGTTAAAAAAATTTTTTTTAAGTTCCATTTTAAGAAAAAAGAAGATAAAATAACATTTCATGAATTTTTTTCTGTCCTAATAAATATATGTTTCAACAATGCTTCTGTAGCTTGCGTAAAATAACGCTATAGTGTTTAAGCAAACTGTTACATGGGGAGATTTGAGGTTACTTGTGTTTTGTTTTGCCTTTTTCATCTATGAGTTATTGTAAACAGTTAGGCACAGATTCTAAATTACTTCCTTAAGATAAATCAGTAACGAAACTGCTGAGTTAAAGGTATGTACATTTTTCGGGCTTTAAATAAATCAGTTAAATTGTCCTCCGGAAAGGTTGTACCAATTTCTTCCCTACTAGGAGTGTTTAAGAATGCCCGTTTGCCCAGCACCCAGTATAGATCAGTACAGACATACAATAAGCAATATCTCACTGTATTAATGGACCTGTTTTTGCTACTGAAGTCACACGTTCTTTTTCATGGGGGGTGGTGGCGGGAGGAGAGGACATTTGTATTTCTTCTTTTGTGAATTACCTGTTGCCATTTACCCATTTTTCTACTGGTATGTTTGCCTTTTTATTTTCTTGCGCTGTAAGAGTTCTCTATATATTAAGGGCATCCTGTTGTTGCTATATGCGGTGTAAATAAGTTCTTTCAACTTATTATTGCTGTACGTGTCTAACTTCAATCCCTGGGAGAAGAGACAGATTTGAATCCTCCACGGCACATAGCTCAGTCTCTCTTCTGCGGCAGCTGCCCAACATATATGCCAAGATGAGCGAA
The DNA here is from genome assembly GCF_000001405.40 of Homo sapiens. Taxonomy (NCBI): domain Eukaryota; kingdom Metazoa; phylum Chordata; class Mammalia; order Primates; family Hominidae; genus Homo; species Homo sapiens. The sequence continues at coordinate 60,034 of NT_187678.1, forward strand.
TTATTTTTGTCCGAGCTACTTTATGAAACTCATTCTGCCCCACTCCAGAAATGGAAGGGATCTGTCAAACGTTCAGACTCCCCTTGCTCACAGCAGCATCAACATTGTCTCCTTGTTTCCTTCATTCATCTAACAAATGTTTACTGAGCCCCTGGTATGTGCCAGGTACTGTTCTTGGCACTAGGGAAACCATAATGGGCAAAATCTTTCATTCTAGTTGGAGGACTCAGATAATAAAGAAAACAAAATATGTATGACGTTCAATTGTGATCAGCACTATAAAGTACGTCAAAGTACAGAAGGGGAGACTGAATTTGTAGGCAGCATGGTCATGGTAGACCTCGCTGAGAAGGGGCATGAAGGTGGAGGTAGAGGGTTTAGACAAGTGGATATGTAGAGGAGAAGGCTTCTGAGCAGACTAAGCAATGCACAGAAAGGTCCCAAGGCAAGAGCAGGCCCAGCGCATTCAAGGGACAAGAAAGACGTCCGTGTGGCTGCGGTGCAGTCAGCAAATTAAGGAGGCAGGGGAGGGGCGCAGGTCGTGCACGGCTTTGCAGCTGTTGTCGGAGCTTTTCTTCTGAGTGAAATGGGAGGATTGGAGCAAAGAAGTGGTGTGGTCTGCCTTATGTTGTAAAAAGACAGCCCTGGCTGACACACTGGGACTAGACTGGGGTGGGGGCTGAGCTGGAAACAGGGAGACCTGTAGTAGTGCAGGTGAGAGATGATGGCATCGTGGACCATCTCGGTGGTAGCACTGGAGATGCTGAGGAGGGGCCACATTCTGGGCACAGTTTGATGGCCTTAGAGCCAGCAGAATTTCCTGGTGCAAAATGTGAGAGGGGAATAAAGACGGTGCCGAGGATTTCGGCCTGAGCACCTGAAGGATGCAACTGACGTTAACTGAGATGGGGAAGATGCAGGTGGGGCAGGTCCAGAGGAAAAGATCAGAACTTCGATTTTAGAAATGTGGAGGCCAGGAGCAGTGCTCATTAACTGGAATCCCAGCACTTTGGGAGGCCGAGGTGGGTGGATCACTTGAGGTCAGGAGTTTGAGACCAGGCTGGCTGACACGGTGAAACTCCGTCTCTACTAAAAATTCAAAAAATTAGCCGAGCATGGTGGTGGCACCTGTAGTCCCAGATACTCAGGAGGCTGAGGCAGGAGAATCACGTGAACCCAAGAGGTGGAGCTTGCAGTGAGCTGAGATCACGCCACTGCACTCCAGCCTGGGTGACAGAGCCAGGCTCCTTTCCATCTCAAAAAGAAAAAAAAAAAGAAAGAAATGTTGAATGTGAGGTATGTATTTCATCAACATCCAAGTGGAGAGATTAAGAATTGAAATGAATACACAGTATACATTAATAATAATAGCTGTATATAAGGCTGGGCACAGTGGCTCATGTCTGTAATCCCAGCACTTTGCGAGTCTGAGGCAGGAGGACTGCTTGAGCTCAGAAGATCGAGACCAACCTGCTCAACATGGTAAAGCCCCTTTTTTACAAAACAAAGTACAAAAATTAGCCAGCTGTGGTCCCAGCTCCTCAGGAGGCTGAGGTGGGAGGATCACTGGAGCTGGGAGGTGGAGGCTGCAGTGAGCCATGGTCGCACCACTGCACTGCAGTTTGGGTGAGAGTGAGACCCTGTCTCAATTTTAAAAAATAAATCGTTGTATCTAAGAGGTGGGATTATAGAAAAGTTTTTCTTTCTCCTCTTCCCACTTCTTACTTTGCTTGGTCTTTGGAATATTTCAAAATTTTGAAATCATAAACAAGTTTTACTTTTATTTTAAATTTATTTATTTATGAGACAGAGTCTTGCCCTTTTGCCCAGGCTGGGGTGCAGTGGTAGGATCTTGGGTCACTGCAACCTCTGCCTCCCGGGTTCAAGTGATTCTCCCGTCTCAGCCTCCTGGGTAGCTGGGATTACAGGCACCTGCCACCACACCCAGCTAATTTTCGTGTTTTTAGTAGAGACGGGGTTTCACCATGTTGGCCAGGCTAGTCTCAAACTCCTGACCTCGTGATCCACCGGCCTCGGCCTCCCAAAGTGCTGGGATTACAGGCGTGAGCCACTGAGCCTGGCCAAGTTTTACTTTTATAATAAAAAGTAAACCATATTAATTTTTTAAAAAAATAATAGCATGTAAGTTATAACATATAAGAGGAATAATTGAGGCTTGTGTCCAGAACTTGAAATTTAAATTTAGGTCAATTCCACATTCTCTGCGATCCCACTGCAGGCCAGACACTCTGCTAGTTCAGGGGATACTGAGATGAACAAAGGTGGTCCCTGCCCTGCTGCAGCGGGCTGTTCGACAGGCTCCAGGCCCGTCTCAGTAAATGCTATCATCAAAGTCCAAACCAAGACCTGGGGGAGTAGAAGGAGGAGGTAGCAGTGAGACTATACACAATCCCTGTACTATAAAAATGGCGAAAGCATGCAGATCAATAGACAGCCTCTGGGCCACACTGAGTGAATTTTAATGCAGGATGGAAGCACACAGATGGGTGATCAGGTCTCTCTTTACTGAAACACAGAACATGTGCCAAGGTGAGTCCAAGGACACCTCTGGGAACAGGTGAAGCCCCTCCCCACACATACACTCCGGTGGATGTGAGCGAGGGTCCTGTTGCCACATCTGGGGTCAGGGGCTTGGACATGCTGCCCTTCATGGGAACCTTCTGGGTACCTCTCAGCACAGTAACGCAGCTGCAGTCTGTCGGTGGGGGCCCAGGCTAGGGGCAGCACCCTCTTTTGGCATACGGGACATGCCTGGCTGCAGCTGATGTCCGTTAGCCTCTCCTGACACGCAGTAAGGAGACCTGGAAGTGAGGCGCGTGGGCGTGGAGTTCCCGGTGGAGCTGGAGAGCAAAAGAGCCAGCTGTCCTTTCAGCCCATCTGGCCCATGAGCTCGCCAGAGGCAGAGGACAGGAAGGGACACTGGGGCAGAGTGCATGCGGAGGACGGCAACCCTTCCTGGGCCTCCTACATGCTGGACACAGGCTGGTGCCTCACACACATTATGTCATCTAAACCTCACAGCAACCTTATAAAGCAGGTGTTAGGATCCTCATTTTATAAGGGATGAAAGTCGCATAGAATAACTTATCCAAGATCACACAGTTGGGAACTAGAATTCACACCCAGATCTAGCTGGTTCCTAAGCTCATTGTCTAATCCCCGAGCCCAAACTGTTGGGCTGTCCCCGGACGAGAACTGATGCCCAACCCCATGTGGCCTGGTGCCTGCGCCTCAGCTGCTTGACCTGCTCCTGATCTCGCGGTTTCTTTCCGATTCCTGAAATCATTTCTGGTTTGGGGGCTTAGACCTGAGATTCAAAACTGGCTTCCCGGCCGGGTGCGGTGGCTCACGCCAATAATCCCAGTGCTTTGGGAAGCAGAGGCAGGTGGGTCACCTGAGGTCAGGAGTTCGAGACCAGCCTGACCAACATGGAGAAACCCCATCTCTACTAAAAATACAAAAATTAGCCAGGAGTGGTAGTGTGCACCTGTAATCCCAGCTACTAGGGAGGTTGAGGCAGGAGAATTGCTTGAATCCGGGAGGTGGAGGTTGCAGTGAGCCGAGATCGTGCCATTGCACTCCAGCCTGGACGACAGAGCGAGAATCTGTCTCAAGAAAAATAAAAGAAAAGAAAAGAAAAAGAGAAAGAAAAAGAAAAAGAAAAAGAAAACTGGCTTCCCAGCCGGACGCAATGACTCAACGCCTGTAATCCCAGCACTTTGGGAGGCTGAGGTGGGTGGATCATGAGGTCAAGAGTTCAAGACTAGCCTGGCCAAGATGCTGAAACCTGAAACTCCATCTCTACTAAAAATACAAAAATTAGCCAGGTATGGTGGTGCGGGCCTGTAATCCCAGCTACTCAGAAGGTTGAGGCAGGAGAATGGCTTGAACCTGGGAGGCGGAGGTTGTGGTGAGCCAAGATCGCACCACTGCACTCCAGCTTGGATGACAGAGTGAGACTCAGTCTCAGAAAACAAAACAAAACAAAACAAAACAAAACAAAACAAAACAAAAGCAATTGGCTTCCCTCTCCCACAAGGATTCACACTCGCTACTTTGATTATCACATGCCGGGGGCATTTGTCACTTATTTGGCCATCGGGTGTCGAGCCCCCGTGCCATGTTTAGGGAACTCCTCACAGTGGGAGTCACGATTGGCCTCACTGCTGCTAAGAGAACTCCAAGGACACAGACATCCCTTCTTCCCGTCCCCTGGCACCTGGCTGTGGGCTCATGGGAGTACAAGGGCTAAGCTCAGCCTATCAAATGTTCCTACTCAGGACTTTGGCTCTGGAGCAAAAAGTCCAGTGAGACAAAAAGGCAGCGAGAACCTATGTGAATGTGTGTGCAGGCCACGTGATGCCCCTTGGCTGTGGCAGCATCCAATAGTGACTGACCAGCAAGAGGGACAGTGTCCCAGCCAGCCTGATCCCACTGTCTGGACCTCAGAGCTCCTGGGGGCCCTCCTGCCTATTTTCCAAGCCTGCTGTCCTGGCATTGCTTTGATTCTATGCACTCTGGGACGCTGCCAACAAATCCCCCTTTTACTTACGACAGACAGAGGTTTTCTTTCGCCTGCAACAAAGGATCCCACTCTCCACGGACATATCTTGCTTCCCTCTGCTAAGGGCAATCATTCCACCTGTCCAGCCTGGCTATGAACTCTACACCTGGCATAAGACCCCCAGCCAGCATCTCTGCCAGGTTTACCCTTGCAAGGGATGACAGGAAGCCTGAGCCACTTTTCAGCAGTGTGGCACCCATTGACTGTGAGAGGTGCTGAATGCAAGCTTCAGGTATTAGCAAGGGCACTGTCCCATTGACTGTGAGAGGTGCTGAATGCAAGCTTCAGGTATTAGCAAGGGCACTGTCAAAGAGGCAATCCACATTAGACTGTGCACTGGGCCTGTTTTCACGGTTACATCTGTGAGCAGAGCTTAGACACTTCCCATCATGCCCCATCTGCTACTTTGTACCACACATTAGGAGAACAACCCACCCCTCAGTGAGGCCAGGCCCGTGACATCTGCACTGAGCTGACCCAGTCTAACCTCCAACAAGCCACACCATCCCCATCCTCAAAACCCTGACCCCGGAACTTTACCATTGGAAGTTCTATCCAGTGGGTTTTAGGAGAATTTTCCCAACTTGTACAAATACATCCCAATCATGGTCCTCATCTAGAGTATACATCTCTGCGGTTTTTTCTGCCTAGCCTCCCTATTTTCTTGGGGCTCATCCTTCCTCTATGGGATCCTGACTGGGTTGTCAGTCATGGTGACCCTTGCAGGCCATGGAGACCTGCACTTCCCCAGATGACATGAAAATTTGGGGAGAGGGGGCCGGGTGCGGTGGCTCATGTCTGTAATCCCAGCACTTTGGGAGGCCAAGACGGGTGGATCACGAGGTCAGGAGATTGAGACTATTCTGGCTAACACGGTGAAACCCCGTCTCTACTAAAAAAAAAAACATAAAAATTAGTTGGGCGTGGTGGCGGGCGCCTGTAGTCCCAGCTACTTGGGAGGCTGAGGCAGGAGAATGGCGTGAACCCAGGAGGCGGAGCTTGCAGTGAGCTGAGATCGCACCACTGCACTCCAGCCTGGGCGACAGAGCGAGACTTCGTCTCAAAAAACAAAAAGAAAGAAAGAAAAAGAAAAAAGAAAAGAAAATGTGGGGAGATGGAAGTCCCTTGTGAATCTATGGCTAACAAGGCTGCCTTTTCATACACATGAAGAAAGACTCTGAAGAATGAAGGGAGTAAAGCTAAGACAGGGAAAGAAAGAGAAAGTCCCTGTGATGGCGCTGGAGCTGCTGGATCCAGCCGTACTGAAGCTGAAGAGACACTTGTAGGTTTCTCAGACCTTGCCTTTTTTTTTTTTTTTTTTTTTTTGCATAAACTGCCCTGACTTGGGTTTCTGCCACTTGCAACCAAGAGTCCGACCTACCCTCCCATCAGTATCACTGACCTTTGCCTCAGAGGCCAGAAGGCCAAGCTTCCAAGGACCAGAAGAAACTGGGGGCTCTAGGAGTCACATGTTTACATTGCAGAGAAGGAAATGAAGAACTCGGAGAAGGCAGGCAGAAGCAAAGCCAGGCAGAGATCCTCAGATTCAGCTCCCAATTCTCCGTAAGAAACGAGACTCCCTTCCAAGCGCGGTAGCTGCTCTTCTGTGTCCTGCGGGTCTTCCCTGCAGCCCCTGCGAACCTCGCCCCTTCCTCTACTCCCCTGGCCCGGAAAGTGCCCACTCACCTGCTGCATCAGCCTTTCTGCCACTCTGGGGTCAGTGAGGTCTTCCGGGGAAGCCACACTCAGCCGCAGGAGGAGGAAACCTCCATTTTCACCTGCAAATGGAGAACAGTAAGATGAAAATCAGGGCTGGGCGCAGTGGCTCACACCTGTCATCCCAGCACTTTGGGAGGCAGAGGCAGGTGGATCACCTGAGATCGGGAGTTTGAGACCAGCCTGACCAACATGGAGAAATCCCGTCTTTACTAAAAACACAAAATGAGCCGGGCATGGTGGTGCGTGCCTGTAATCCCAGCTACTCAGGAGGCTGAGGCAGGAGAATCGCCTGAACCTGGGAGGCGGAGGTTGTGGTGATCTGAGATCGCAGCACTACACTCCAACCTGGGCAACAAGAGCGAAACTGTCTCAAAAAAAAAAAAAAAAAAAAAGAGGAGGATGAAATAGTCACATATATTTGCTTCCGTATGTACATTTCATGTGCAGAAAATTACACACAAGAGACAATCTCACGGGTTACATGTGTGGAGAGAACTGGGTGGGGGCACAGCCAGGGGAGAAAGGCATTTTATGGTGAACCTTTTCGTACCTTTCCATTTCAAATCATATGAATGTCTTATCTAATCAACAAATAATAAAGTATTTTTCTTTCCAGGGAAAAGAAGGAGCGATCAGACTGTCACTGTGTCTCTGTAGAAAGGAAAGACATGAGACTCCATTTTGAAAAAGACCTGTACTTTAAACAAGCTTTGCTGAGATGTTGTTAATTTGTAACTTTGCCCCAACCTTGAGCTCATAAAAACATGTGTTGTATAAAATCAAGGTTTAAGGGATCTAGGGCTGTGCAGGACGTGCCTTGTTAACAAAATGTTTACAAGCAGTATACTTGGTAGAAGTCATCGCCATTCTCTAGTCTCAATAAACCAGGGGCACAATGCACTGTGGAAAGCCGCAGGGACCTCTGCCCTTGAAAGCAGGTTATTGTCCAAGCTTTCTCCCCATGTATAGTCTGAAATATGGCCTTGTGGGATGACAAAGACCTGACCGTCCCCCAGGCTGACACCCGTAAAGGGTCTGTGCTGAGGTGGATTAGTAAAAGAGGATCTCCTCTTGCAGTTGAGATAGAGGAAGGCCACTGTCTCCTGCCTGCCCCTGGGAACTGAATGTCTCAGTATAAAACCCGATTGTACATTTGTTCAATTCTGAGACAGGAGAAAAACCACCCTGTGGCGGGAGGTGAGACATGTTTGCAGCAATGCTGCTTTATTATTCTTTACTCTGCTGAGATGTTTGGGTGGAGAGAAACATAAATCTGGCCTACGTGCACATCCAGGCATAGTATCTTCCCTTGAACTTAATTATGACACAGATTCTTTTGCTCACATGTTTCTTGCTGACCTTCTCCTTATTATCACCCTGCTCTCCTACTACATTCCTTTTTGCTAAAATAATGAAAATAATAATCAATAAAAACTGAGAAAACTCAGAGACTGGTGCCGGTGCAGGTCCTTGGTATGCTGAGCGACGGTCCCCTGGGCCCACTGTTGTTTCTCTATACTTTGTCTCTGTGCCTTATTTCTTTTCTCAGTCTCTCATCCCACCCGACTAGAAATACCCACAGGTGTGGAGGGGCAGGCCACCCCTTCACTTTCCAGAGCAGTTTAGCTACCATCTTTAACCCTGTCAGATGGGGTCGTGTTACCCACCTCCTAAGGCTGTTTTGAAGGTTAAATAGAGGAGATAACATATGCAAAGCTGGTGGCACACTGCCTGGCATCATAACATATGCAAAGCTGGTGGCACACTGCCTGGCATCAGATAACATATGCAAAGCCGGTGGTACACTGCCTGGCATCAGATAACATATGCAAAGCTGGTGGTACACTGCCTGGCATCAGATAACATATGCAAAGCCGGTGGCACACTGCCTGGCATCAGATAACATATACAAAGCCGGTGGCACACTGCCTGGCATCAGATAACATATGCAAAGCTGGTGGCACACTGCCTGGCACCGGAGAGAACGTTCTGCTGGGGCCAGTGCTTACTGGGTGTGAAACATGTTTATATCACCCCTGCCTATAACATGAAAGATATTCAATAATATCTTTATGTATTGAGTGGTTGTGATTAATATTTGTATTCCCACCTCCCCCAGAAAGGTGGTAACAAGCTGCGGATACACAGAGATGAGGCCCAAGGGCAGAGTGACAGGAAGTGGAGGTGGAGGCTACAGGCTGACCAGAAGCTGGACTGACCAAGCAGCCTCTGACAATGAACTTCTCCCCTGAGAAGTCCCTGTTGCCTCAGAGATGTAGCTTTAAACTCCCAAGCCTTCGCTGTATTTGCTTATTTTATCTTACCTTTTTTTTTTGAGACGGAGTTTCACTCCGTCTCAGCTCACTGTAACCTCCACCTCCCGGGTTCAAGTGATTCTCCTGCCTCAGTCTCCCAAGTAGCTGGGATTACAGGCGCCCACCACTGCGCCCAGCTAATTTTCATATTTTTAGTAGAGATGGGGTTTCACCATGTTGGTCAGCCTGGTCTCGAACTCCTGACCTCAGGTGATCCGCCGGCCTCTGCCTCCCAAAGTGCTGGGATTACAGGCATAAGCCACCGCTCCAGGCCTGTATTAATTTATTTTAAGTCACTATCTATGGCATAAATCCCAGGAAATGCATCCAGCAGGCCCCACTTTCATGGGGTCCCAGCCTGTCAGAGAGCAGCAGCTTGGGCCTGATGCCTGCCTGCTGCTCCTCTGTGTGGCTATGGCTGGAATAGAAGCTTCCAGAGCTGCTCAACAGTGCACTTCACAGAAGGTCAGAGCTGGACAGGACTTCAGTGCCCATTCCAACCCTCTCCAAATACAGGTGGAGAAACTGAGGCCCAGAGAGGGACAGGGACTTGCCCAAGGTCACTCGGGTTGTTACAGGCAGAGCCGAGACCGCAAACCATTTCTCCGGACTTCCATCCCCACCCCTTTCCATACACAACCCTCCATCTGCCTTTTCCTGATTTCGCCAAGAACCACTAGAAGATCACGAAGAGGCAACATCAGGAGCAGGCTCTGAGTAGGCTCCAGATCCTTCCCTCCTCTCCACTCCTCAAGTGCGGAGACGTCCTGGAAACTCCGCATCCCAAATCCCCGAAGATCACCAGCAGGAGCCACTTACCTGCACTCACGTCTGTGGTCGGCCTCGTCCGGGCAGTCGTGGGCGTGGCTGTTGGGGGCTTCATCGTGGTCTTCGCTGAGGTTGTGATCTTGGCTAAGGTGCTGTTCGTCCCTCGGCTGCTGTTGGTTGTAGTCGGAGGGACAGAAGGAAGAGGGTCCCTGCTGGTGGGGAAGGGCCCCTTGGTTGCGATGTCCATGGTCGGTGTCTCTGAAGGGGTGAAGTTCTTGAGGGCGGCTTCCGAGGGGCTGTAGGAGGAAGCAGAGCTCCCAGCAAAGGAAGTTGTTTTGCCCACTGCTGACCCAGCCTCTATGGAGACCGGAGCTGCTCCTGAGACTTTGACGTAACTTGGTGTCTCAACAGAGAGGGCTGAGGTTTCTTCAAGGGGATTCCTGCTAACTGTGACCAGAGCTCCACTGAGGGTCGTGGCCCCGGGTGCTGTCACTTCTCTTTCTGTGGCGCTGTTAGTGGGGAGTGGGGTCCCAACCGTGGCATCAGGTGCAGCTGACTCTGTGGTGCCGGCTGTGGACAGGGTCTCGGCAGAGGCTGTGACCTCAGTGATGTGTGGTTTTGCTTCAGTGGAGTCAGGCAGAGCTGGTGGATCGGAGGTGGACGAGGCCTTCACCCCTTCCGTGGGGATGAGATCTGTGTCTGAGGCCCCAGGGATGCTGGAAGTCGTTGTTTCTATTTCTGTGATGCTGCAATTAATAACCTCGATGTTTGTGACAGTCACCAGGGCTTCAGCGAGGAGAGTGACGTCAGATCCCGGGGACCATGAGGGGGTGATGACTGGATGGGGGCCGTCGGAAGAGGCGCTGCTCTCTGAGGCCCGTGACGGGGTGATGACTGGATGGGGGCCGTCGGAAGAGGCGCTGCTCTCTGAGGCCCGTGACGGGGTGATGACTGGATGGAGGCCGTCGGAAGAGGCGCTGCTCTCTGAGGCCCGTGACGGGGTGATGACTGGATGGGGGCCGTCGGAAGAGGCGCTGCTCTCTGAGGCCCGTGACGGGGTGATGACTGGATGGGGGCCGTCGGAAGAGGCGCTGCTCTCTGAGGCCCGTGACGGGGTGATGACTGGATGGGGGCCGTCGGAAGAGGCGCTGCTCTCTGAGGCCCGTGACGGGGTGATGACTGGATGGGGGCCGTCGGAAGAGGCGCTGCTCTCTGAGGCCCGTGACGGGGTGATGACTGGATGGGGGCCGTCGGAAGAGGCGCTGCTCTCTGAGGCCCGTGACGGGGTGATGACTGGATGGGGGCCGTCGGAAGAGGCGCTGCTCTCTGAGGCCCGTGACGGGGTGATGACTGGATGGGGGCCGTCGGAAGAGGCGCTGCTCTCTGAGGCCCGTGACGGGGTGATGACTGGATGGGGGCCGTCGGAAGAGGCGCTGCTCTCTGAGGCCCGTGACGGGGTGATGACTGGATGGGGGCTGTCGGAAGAGGCGCTGCTCTCTGAGGACAGGCCCTTAGCTTCTGTGGAGGTGTGAGCCAATGTCAATATGTCCATTGTGAGTGTCTTTGCCTCTTCAGAGCTGTCATCGGTGCAAAGGGTGTCAAAGATGGCTTCCCTGGGATCACTGCCTGTGATGGTCTGAACTGTGGTCATTCCAGCTCCCTCGGGGCTGCCACTGGCGGCTGATGTCTCCACGGAGGTGGCGATCAGCACCATGAAGTTGGGAGATGTTTTTGTGAAACTCCTGGTCTCTCTTGCAGGGGAAATTCTCTTGGCTCCCCTGGTCTCTGCTTCTGGAATGGGGCCGGCTGGGGTTGAGGCCCTAGAAGAGGTCTCAGCGCTCAGCGTTTGAGTTTCCAGAGCGGCGTGGCCCGGTGCTAGAGTCATAGCGGGCACTTCTGTGTCGTCCGTTGTCATCGCAGTGTCTGCTCTGCGGGTGCTGGGGCCTGTGTTGGTTAAGACTGACTTGGTGAGCCTGGGTTCCAGTGGACTTCACACAAGCTATTGCGTTTACACCCTGGGCACTTCTGGGAGGAGGGTGGGGCAGGGGAGTGCCGTTACCTCATTTTTCATCTACATAAGCGAACAAGAAGGAGGCAGTCCTGGGAAGCCCAGGCCTGTGTGGCAGCCATGGAGCTGGGGTTGCCATGACTGGTGTCCTCTGAAACCCTGACAACTCACTTGGGGCCAGCAAGCCCCAGGATCTGCTGGCTATCGGCCTGCGTCTTTAAGAGGGGATGTGTGGGGCCAGCGTCCACCTTCCAGGGTGAGCCAAGAAGGCAGACCAGCGTCCAGGACTCGCAGAGCTTTCTGAACCTCTGTCCCCTTCCCCGGATACTTTTCTCATCCAACACATAGTTCCCCATGGAAGTAAAAACCCTTAAAAGACGAGAAAGGCCTATGATTGTGCCTTTCGGGGTAGCTGGGTGGATTGAGGCGGGGGAACCTCCAGAGACAGGGTGGGCAGTGCTGCTGCCAAAGCGAGGGAGCCGGCAGAGTCCTTGGGGCTCCAGCAAGGGAAAGACGGCACCCCCCACCCTGCCGAGGCCCCTCCTGAATGAGGGCTGAGAACTGCAGGGTTGGAGCCTGGGAACCATGGAAACCGTGGCCAGGCATTTTCCACAGGACACCGGGAGACCCTGAGGCAACACCTAGCTTTTCAGAGAGCGGCTGCCAGCACTTCTGCCCAGAGCAGAGGCCTGTTCCCTTGACTGGCCCTGAGGTGGGAGGAATGGGAGTCCCCGAGGGAGGCTACGGTAGGATATCTTCCCTAGAGACAGGGTCTTGCTCTGTTGCCCAGGCAGGTCTTGAATTCCTGGGCTCAAGCGATCCTCCTGCCTCAGCCTCTTGAGTAGTTTACTACAAGATCTTTTCTGGCCTGAGAAAGGGGGCCTCCCCTGTCTAGAGGGAGATCGGGCTCTCCCTGTGAGTGGGCCAAGGAGCCTCTTGGAGAGGGTTTCTAGATTTAGCAAATAAAAATACAGGGTACTCGGTTAAATTTGAACTTGCATTTCAGATAAACGACGAATAACTTTTTAGCATGAGTATTTCTCATGCAATATTGGCTACATACTTACACTTAAAAAAAATTGTTACCTGAAATTCAAATGTAACTGGATGCCCTGTGTTTTATCTGGTAATCCCAGTCTTGGAAGGAAAAGGATCAAATACGAACCCCCTAATTCTCTGAGCCTTCTTGGTCCAGCCTACACAGCTGGAAGCCCAAAGGTGGCGCTCTTGGAGTCTGACCTCCCCTGGCACAGGGTTTGAGATGGTCTTTACCCAGCTCCACTGGCCCAAAAGTAGCCCATAGACCCAAAAGGGGCCTAGCACCTCTCCCCAGGGCATCAGGATGGGGCCCCAGGTCCCCAACTGGTTGTCCTGTGGACCTCAGGGAATGACGACGCAGGAGTCAAGAGCCTCGGTTGCAGCTCCCGCTGTGCCGCCCACGACTGGCTCCGGGGTCAGATGATCTGCTGGTTCAAATCCTGACTCAGCCTCCTACTAGCCAGGCCAGTCTCTAGACCCCTCCCAGCCTCCATGTCCTCACCTGAGAAAACAGGGTCACAATACCTGCCTTGCCAACGTGATGAGGACCAGCGGAGAAGGTGAAAGGGCTTATATTCCAAAGCCCACAAGGTAAGCATCCCTCCCTATGGAGTCCTCTCCCAGGCCACTGGAAAGCACGCATAGTTGATCTGACTATAGTGAGGAGTGCGGGCTGCACCCCCAGGCAGTATAGGCGAGTCCCGGGCACCCACTCTCATCCCTGGTCCAGTGCGGCCCAGCTGCACACACAAATCTCACTTTTGCAGGAACTGTTCGTCTGCCTTCATAATACAGTTTCTTCTCCCCACTTCAAGCCTGAGATCATTTCTTTGAGCCTTCTTGGTCCAGCCCACACAGCTGGAAGCCCAGAGTGGTGCCCTTGGAGCCCGACTTCCCCTGGCACATTTTCTGGCTTATCCAGGAGCCCCGGGGTGTCCTTTCTGCTGTGAAACCTCCTCATGCTCCCCAAGCCCACAGCCTCTCGGGTCCAAGGGGGTCTTCTCGAATACAGCAAATCCCAGCCCAGCCCCTCAGTAGCTCTGGAACACTGCGGCTCTCCTGGTACAATCTTCAAATCTGGTGGAGAGGAAAGCGTGTGGACTTGGGACCCTGAGTTGGAGAATCTGCTCTCTGCCCTGTGACCCTGGCCAAGTCTCTCAGCTCCAAGCCTGCATTTCCGCACCTGTAAGGTGGAGCTAACGGGACACGTGCAGCGCAGACCAGGCCACGGTGAGCACAGGCAGGAGGCCACGGGGTGCAGTGCTCAGGCCTGTGAGGAGTCAGATTCTGGCTCCGAGGAGTTGTTACTGGATGCCCAGAAGCACAGTGGCCTCACCCTTAAAGCAGTGGAGGTGGGGGGTGGTAAAAACAGGGCCGATCTTGCAGGGCCGTTGTGAGGATTAAAAATACAATGTATGATAATGATGCATCAAAGTAGGTTCCTCAGTCCTATCAAATGTGCCACTCTGGTGGGGGACGCTGATGATGGGGGAGGCTGTGAGTGGTGGGGATGGGAACTCCAGACTCTCCACTGCAGCTTTTTTTTTTTTGAAACATAGTTTCACTTTTGTTGCCCAGGCCAGAGCGCAAGGGTGCGATCTCAGCTCACTGCAAACTCCACCTCCCAGGTTCAAGCAATTCTCCTGCCTCAGCCTCCCGAGTAGCTGGGATTACAGGCACCTGCTACCACCCCCGGCTAATTTTGTATTTTTAGTAGAGACGGGGTTTCTCCATGTTGGTCAGGCTGGTCTCGAACTCCTGACCTCAGGTGATCCACCCACCTCAGCCTCCCAAAATGCTGGGATTACAGGTGTGAGCCACCACGCCCGGCCTCTCCACTCGAGGTTTAGAGGGAGCATAGAACTAAAAAAAAAATAAATCCTTTTCTATTTTTTAATGTATGTGATGAGTTTGGCACAACTCCTATTAGCGACAGGTCAGGGTTCATTCCCGTCTTTCACAAAAGCCCTGCCTGTCAGCATCCACCCTTCCCAAGCAGTTTGTGGCAGTTGGACTTTTCACACGAAATCTGTATTTTGAAGGAAATCCATGCTAGGTAATAAACTGGGAGGAGTCAGAATCTTGTTAAGCCACATTCTTCAGCTTTCTGCACAATGATCACCAGCTGGCACCTCCCTGCACCCCCGCTCCGTGCCCCACTTACTGTCCCACGTTCATAAAGACAAACTCTCAGCCATCCCTTACGATGGCAGCGTCATGGTTGATTAGCGTGTACTGCAGCGCCAGGCACGCTTACACTCACACACATCGTCATGGTTGATTAGTGTGTACTGCAGCGCCATGCACGCTTACACTCACACTGTCATTTGCACACTCTTTATCAACAATAATAGCACTTCACAAGTAGCACTGTGGTTCATTATAATCAACCCGAGAGAGCCTGCCCTTGCCCATGAAGGGTGGCTCATACTGAAATTCACTCCCAGAGCCCTACTAGGGGAGAGGCCCACCAGGCCCTTCTAGGCCTCCTTACCTGCAGAGCTCCCAGAGACCCCAACCTCCCAGCAGAAGAAGAAAAGGGGCAGAGCCAGACCCCAGAGACAGCCCATCCTAGCCGGCCACCGCTGCTCCACAGAACTGCTGGCTGTCTCTCGCGGGTACCTTTTCCTGCTTCCTCAAACCAGGGAGGAGGGGCAGCCTCCTGCCCAGGTGTGTGACCAGGTGATCACAAATGTGCAGGCTGAGGGCTGGCAGGTTGAGGCTGTCAGCAAGCTGACCCCCCTGCCTTCCTTGCCCGGTAAACACTCCACTGAAATTTGATTTGAAGATATGGAATCACTAGCTTCTTTTTTTTTTTTTGAGATGGAGTCTTGCTCTGTCACCCAGGCTGGAGTGTACAGTAATGAGATCTCAGCTCAATGAAACCTCTTCCTCCCGGGATCCAACAATTCTCCTGCCTCAGCCTCTGGAGTAGCTGGGATTATAGGCGCGCACCACCACGTCGGGCTAATTTTTGTATTTTTAGTAGAGATGGGGTTTCACCATGTTGGCCAGGCTAGTCTCAAACTCCTGACCTCAGGTGATCTACCTACCTCAGCCTCCCAAAGTGCTGGGAGTACAGGCATGAGCCACTGCACCCAGCCAAGTGCTTTTATTTTCTTAAGCCAATTAATTAGAGCTCTTTTATATATTTTCAGTAGCAAAACACTGTGTACACAACAACACATAAATACACAGATGTATTAGGTATGCTGAAAGAAGTTCATCTTATAGATTCATAAAGAGCTTTTTTCTTACACCTTCAAATTCTTTTTTACTTTTTTTTTTTTTTTTTTTGAGACAGAGTCTCACTCTGTTGCCCAGGCTGGAGTGCAATGGCTTGATCTCGACTCACTGCAAACTCTGCCT
The DNA here is from genome assembly GCF_000001405.40 of Homo sapiens. Classification (NCBI taxonomy): domain Eukaryota; kingdom Metazoa; phylum Chordata; class Mammalia; order Primates; family Hominidae; genus Homo; species Homo sapiens. Next base: position 75,836 of record NT_187678.1, read on the forward strand.
CCTGGCTTCAAGTGATTCTCCTGCCTCAGCTTCCTGAGTAGCTGGGATTATAGGCACCTGCCACCACATCTGGCTAATTTTTTTTGTATTTTTAGTAGAGACGGGGTTTCAACATGTTGGCCAAGATGGTTTTGAACTCCTGACCTCAAGAGATCTTTGCGGCTCAGCCTCCCAAATGCTAGGATTACAGACGTGAGCCACCGTGCCCAGCCACACCTTCGAATTCTTGATAACCTGTTTTACTACTCTAAGCGGTTGTCAGCTAAATAGCCTTGAATTTGCATTTTAAGGAAACTGAGGTGAAAATCGAATAGCAAAATTTACATCATAACGTATGGAGAGAAAAAGTCTGGTGTGCTGGAGGGAAATTAAAACAGATTTAATTGCCAATTAAACATAAAATTATAGAAATTATAAAGGCCTTTTAAATATATACACACACACAAAGATCCTATAGCTTTTACTTCAGAAATTTAGCCATGAAAGCTGGGCGCGGTGACTCACGCCTGTAATCCCAGCACCTTGGGAGGCCGAGGCGGGCAGATCACCTGAGGTCAGGAGTTGGAGACCAGCCTGACGAACATGGAGAAACCCCATCTCTACTAAAAATACAAAAAATTAGCCAGGCATGGTGGTGCATGCCTGTAATCCCAGCTACTCGGGAGGCTGAGGCAAGAGAATCACTTGAACCAGGGAAGAGGAGACTGTGGTGACCCAAGATCACGCCATTGCACTCCAGCCTGGGCAACAAGAGTGAAACTCTGCCTCAAAAAAAAAAAAAGAAAAAAAAAAAAGAGAAAGAAAAGAAAAAAAGAAATTTAGCCATGAAATAAATACAAATTCACCAGTTTACAAACAGAAAAACTATCTGATCCAAACAGTGTTTTTTATCTTAATAGAAAAATAACAGCAAATTTAAAGCAGGCAGAGAAGAAACTAGAGAAAAAAGAGGACTCAGGAACTCTACAGTTTGCAGGTCAACCTCAGGGCTCCTTTTTTTTTAATGTAAATGTGCAGAAAGACCATATTACTTCCACTTTACATAAACTCTGGCAAGTAGAGGCGCCATGAACCCTATGGAGTACTCGGCTGGGAGGAGCAAACGCCCTTTCTCTTTGGAGCTGAGAAAACTCAATCTCTCATTTACCTATGACAACAACAGTTCAGTTCCTCATGCAAATACATAGACAACCCAAACTGAGATTCATTTTGGGAGAAAAAGCAATAGAGAAGACCCTTTAGGATGCATCTCTGAACTAGAATTAGGATCCTTAAATCACAGCTTCCTAGAAGAGAAAAAAAAAAAAACAAAAAAACAGCCAAGACCATTCCCTGTAAACTGTGCTCAGCCACCCCTTCTTTGTAGTTCTCGTCTGCCATTACACACGCCAAGGTCAAATCCTCTCACAGTGCAGGGTCATCTCTGGTTCCCCCAAAGCCAAAGAGGTCAGGTCATGCCGTACAGGAAGACAGCAGAGCTTTAGACCTAAGAAGAATCCGCCCATCACTCTTGAAACTCCACAAAGAAAACAGAGCACCCTGGAAGGGGTGAGTGGCCCCTTTGTTCCGGATCCTTTAAAGGGGCTCGAGTCATTGGAAGCCTTCTCTAGATTTTTTTGGTCCCGCAGATGGCAAAGGCAGGAGGAGGTATAGGGAGGAAGAAAAGTAAGTGAAAGAGCATTTGTTGTTTTTGTTTGTTTGTTTTTTAAGACAGAAAGCAAACACAGAAACCAAGCACGTGATTTGTTGTTTTCGTTTAGTTTTTTCCTCTTTTGCAGCTGCAAGGAATTTTAGCCAAATTAGAGAGGCTTTGTTACCCATAATTTGGAATTCTCACTTGGATTTGACCAAGTCAGGTAGAGTTGGTCAAATCTGATGAGAGAAAGACCAGAAAAAACAACAACAACAAAAGTCAAATGATATGACCACAGACTGCTCTAATGGGAAGAAGAAATTCAGACCAGCTGGTTGTTAACCTTCAGCCAAGACAAAACCTCAGTTCAGCTACTTACCTAGGGATGGGTCTCAGGCTGAAGACTGCTCTCTACCATCCTTGAAGCAGGAAAAAAACTCGAACTTGTCTTCCCTGCTGGGAGCAAGCTCAAACTCCATAAAAGAGTTGTCAGCCTTCCATCATCACGGACCCAGGAAATCTTGCCTTCCTTCTTGGAAGCAAATAAAACTCCAAAAGAAGGAGAGGGGGAGTTGTACATCAAATAAACTTTAGATCACGACCAAGTTTTGAGAGATCAGGGACTCTATGGAGGGGGTGCTCCCAGACCTCAGCAAATTGTCCTGTTGGTTTGAGCCATAAGGTTAGCTCATGGTGCTACCAAGCACCAATAGATCTGTCAAAGGTCAGGGGTACCTCAACTCAGAATCCCTCCATGGTTACCAAAATGTGAACCCCCCAAATCTGAGACAGGTCTCAGTTAATTTAGAAAGTTTATTGTTCCAAGGTTGAAGATGCACACCCGTGACACAGCCTCAGGATGTCCTGACGACATGTGCCAAGGTGGTCATACGTTTTAGGGAGACATGAGACATCAATCAACACATGTAAGATGAACATTGGTTCAGTCTGGAAAAGGCCGGGCAACGCCAAGCAAATGTGGGACAACTCGCAGCCAGGAGAAAGCTTCCAGGTCACAGGTGGGTGAGAGACAAAGGTCGCATTCTTTTGAGTTTCTGATGGGCCTTTCCAAAGAAGGCAATCAGATATGCATCTATCTCAGTGAGCAGGGGGTGATTTTGAATAGAATGGGGGGCAGGTCGGCCCTAAGCCATTCCCGGCTTGACTTTCCCCTTTAGCTTAGTGATTTTGGGGGCCCAAGATTTATTTTCCTTTCACAAAACAATAAACATAACAAATAAGTGAATTATAGAAAGGTGAAAACTATGGAAAAAAAAGAAAAACAGAGAGAAAGAATCCTGAACACTGACGTGGGGAGGGCAGGTGCCAGCTGCAGTACTAAATACTGGTGTGGGGAGGGCAGGTGCCAGCTGCAGTACTAAATACTGGTGTGGGGAGGGCAGGTGCCAGCTGCAGTACTAAATACTGCTGTGTGGAGGGCAGGTGCCAGCTGCAGTACTAAATAGCAGAGGGGAGGGCAGGTGCCAGCTGCAGTACCAAATACTGGTGTGGGGAGGGCAGGTGCCAGCTGCAGTGCGTGGGGAGGGCAGGTGCCAGCTGCAGTACTAAATAGCGGGGGAAGATTTTTTTCTGAGCAACTTTGAGTCACTGCTCACATCTCATGCCAATGTATTAATCCCAAGTCAAGGGTCAGATGAGGCACTCGGATCTCTCCAGTTGCCAACACAGCTCTTCCAAGTGTACTTTACTTCCTTTCATTCCTGCTCTAAAACTTTATTTATGTATTTATTTTTGAGACAGAATCTTGCTCTGTCGCCTAGGCTGGAGTGCAGTGGCACAATCCCAGTTCACTGCAACCTCTGCCTCTGGGATCAGGCAATTCTCCTGCCTCAGCTTCCTAAGCAGCTGGGATAACAGGCGTGCACCACCGTGCTTGGCTAATTTTTTTTTTCTTTTTTCGTATTTTGAGTAGAGATGGGGTTTCACCATATTAGCCACGATGGTCTCGTACTTCTGACCTCAGGTGATCCACCTGCTTTAGCCTCCCAAAGTGCTGGGATTACAGGTGTGAGCCACCACGCCCAGCCCTGGCCAACTTTTGTTTTTTTTGAGACAGAGTTTCATTCTTATTGCCCAGGCTGGAGTGCGATGGCCCAATCTTGGCTCACTGCAACCTCTGCCTCCCAGGTTTGTAGGATATAATAAATTCTTCTTCAAAGGTTTTAGCCTGTAAATTGTTAAGTACAATGAGTTCTGAGATCCTCTCCAAAGAATCAATGTATCAGTATGTTCAGCTCTTCATTTTAAAGTTTAACTTCCTCGTTTTCTTCATCTCCTTGCCCCTAGTTTCAGTAAACAACCCCCTCCTAGCCTCTATCACCTGCTCCATCCTGAGTCACCCCCAGTCACCTGCTCTAATCTGAGTCATCCTGAGTCAACAGGGTTTCACCATGTTGGCCAAGTTGGTCTCGAACTCCTGACCTCATGTGATCCGCCCACCTCAGCCTCCCAAAGTGCTGGGATTACAGGTGTAAGCCATCGTGCCTGGCCAGTTTTCACTTTAAAATGATCTCTAATACCAACTCTTGGGGTCCGAATGGGTCCCCACTGGTTTCAAATGTTGAGCATGCACAGATTATGTGGATGAGAACTTGCCAGGTGGGCTTACCGAAGGAGACGTGGTAAGAATCGCCTACATCTGCCAGGCCCTGAGGACAGGCCCTCTCCACACCGAGGCTTATTTCCTTGGGTTGCAGAAGAGGAAACGCCAGGGAGCCCAGTATTCTTTGGTTCATTCACTTCTTTTTTATGTTGTAACCTACATACTGTAAACTACGCCCAGCTTAAGTAGCGTATACCCTGATGAATTTTTATGTACGTATGTATCCCCAGGATGTATCCGACACTCAGGTCAAGATACAGAACGTGCTCAGCACCTCAACAGGTGCCCTTGTGTTCCCTTCCAGTCAAGCCCCCACTTGCCACCACAGAATGGAACAATCATTTTTTTTTTTTTTTTAGAGACAGGGTCTCGCTCTGTCTCCAAAGCTGGAGTGCAGCTCCATCATGGTTCACTGCAGCCTCCGCCTCCCGGGTTTGAGCGATCCTCCCATTTCAGTGTAACCACCATTCTTATCTCTATCACCATAGATTAGCTCTGCATGTCTTTGAACTTCATATAAATGGAATCATGCATAGATAGGCTCTTTTGTGTCTGGATTCTCTCTGTTAACACTGTGTCTGTGAGACTCACTCACGCTGTGTGTAGTATTATGCTTCATCCTTTTTTGTTGTTGCATAGTATTCCACTGTATAAATATACCACAATTTATTTGTCTGTTTTCCTATTGCTGTGCATTTGGATTGTTTTGTTTTTCACTATTTTGAATAAAGCTGCTATGAACATCCTTGTGTATGTCTTGGGTATACAGATGGTCCTGGCTTACAATGATTGGATTTAAAATTGTTTGACTTTATGATGGGCTTATCAGGGTATTAAATGTGTTTCTGACTTACAGTATTTTTGACTTACCACGTGTTTATTGGGACGTAACCCCTTCCTAAGATGAAGAGCATCTGTATACATCCAGAATCCTGTGGAGCAACTCATAACCCATGAGGAATGGAAGCCGACAGACAGACTCATCCCCAGGACAGGTGGTTCTCACTACATCTCATAAAGCTTCTTAGAAGATCTTACAGGATTGAGCAACCAGCCAGCCACAGCAGGGGCCAACTGGATAACACGTCTTTGCATAGGCTCTCCCTCTGTCCCTGTCACCCTCCCCTTTTCCTAACCTTGTTCCTTGGGATTATGTTTTGAAATAAATTATTCAGAGAAATGAAGCCAAAGCTGACCCATTAGCCAATAGCTAGGTTCTGTGATGACAGAGCTTCTGGGCTATAATCGTTTACTGAGAAGCCAGCGTTCCTGAGGGGATAATGGCTCGTTCCATTCAGCTGCAGCATAGGAGTGAGGGCAGGGCATTAGCAGAAGATAACACCAGAAACGTGCTCTGGGGCCTGTTGATGACTTTCTGTGCCAAGCACAGACATTTAGCCTTTATTCTGTATGTGATGGGAAGCCAGTGCCAGTGGTGGGTTTGAGCAGGGAACCAGCAACCAGTGGTGGGTTTGAGCAGGGAACCAGCAATACTCAAGCTCTGCTTGGATGGAGGCCAGTCAGGGAGGAGTTAGGGCAGGAGGACCAGTCAGGGAGGAGACTTAGGGCAGGAGGACCAGTCAGGGAGGAGACTTAGGGCAGGAGGACCGGTCAGGGAGGAGACTTAGGGCAGGAGTACTGGTCAGGGAGGAGACTTAGGGCAGGAGGACCGGTCAGGGAGGAGACTTAGGGCAGGAGGACCGGTCAGGGAGGAGACTTAGGGCAGGAGGACCGGTCAGGGAGGAGTTAGGGCTGGAGGACGGGTCAGGGAGGAGACTTAGGGCAGGAGGACCGGTCAGGGAGGAGTTAGGGCTGGAGGACCGGTCAGGGAGGAGTTAGGGCAGGAGGACTGGTCAGGGAGGAGACTTAGGGCAGGAGGACCGGTCAGGGAGGAGACTTAGGGCAGGAGGACCGGTCAGGGAGGAGACTTAGGGCAGGAGGACTGGTCAGGGAGGAGACTTAGGGCAGGAGGACAGGTCAGGGAGGAGTTAGGGCTGGAGGACGGGTCAGGGAGGAGTTAGGGCTGGAGGACCGGTCAGGGAGGAGTTAGGGCAGGAGGACAGGTCAGGGAGGAGTTAGGGGAGGAGGACCGGTCAGGGAGGAGTTAGGGCAGGGGGATTGGTCAGGGAGGAGTTAGGGCAGGGGGATTGGTCAGGGAGGAGTTAGGGCAGGAGGACCGGTCAGGGAGGAGTTAGGGCAGGAGGACCGGTCAGGGAGGAGACTTAGGGCAGGAGGACTGGTCAGGGAGGAGTTAGGGCAGGAGGACCGGTCAGGGAGGAGTTAGGGCAGGAGGACCGGTCAGGGAGGAGACTTAGGGCAGGGGGATTCGTCAGGGAGGAGTTAGGGCAGGAGGACCGGTCAGGGAGGAGTTAGGGCAGGAGGACTGGTCAGGGAGGAGTTAGGGCAGGAGGACAGGTCAGGGAGGAGACTTAGGGCAGGAGGACCGGTCAGGGAGGAGACTTAGGGCAGGAGGACTGGTCAGGGAGGAGTTAGGGCAGGAGGACCGGTCAGGGAGGAGTTAGGGCAGTAGGACCGGTCAGGGAGGAGTTAGGGCTGGAGGACTGGTCAGGGAGGAGTTAGGGCTGGAGGACAGGTCAGGGAGGAGTTAGGGCAGGAGGACGGGTCAGGGAGGAGTTAGGGGAGGAGGACTGGTCAGGGAGGAGTTAGGGCTGGAGGACCGGTCAGGGAGGAGTTAGGGCAGGAGGACCGGTCAGGGAGGAGTTAGGGCTGGAGGACCGGTCAGGGAGGAGTTAGGGCAGGAGGACCGGTCAGGGAGGAGTTAGGGCAGGAGGACCGGTCAGGGAGGAGACTTAGGGCAGGAGGACTGGTCAGGGAGGAGTTAGGGCTGGAGGACCGGTCAGGGAGGAGTTAGGGCAGGAGGACTGGTCAGGGAGGAGTTAGGGCAGGAGGACAGGTCAGGGAGGAGACTTAGGGCAGGAGGACCGGTCAGGGAGGAGACTTAGGGCAGGAGGACTGGTCAGGGAGGAGTTAGGGCAGGAGGACCGGTCAGGGAGGAGTTAGGGCAGTAGGACAGGTCAGGGAGGAGTTAGGGCAGGAGGATCGGTCAGGGAGGAGTTAGGGCAGGAGGACCGGTCAGGGAGGAGTTAGGGCAGGAGGACCGGTCAGGGAGGAGTTAGGGCAGGAGGACAGGTCAGGGAGGAGACTTAGGGCTGGAGGACTGGTCAGGGAGGAGTTAGGGCAGGAGGACCAGTTAGGAGGCAGTGACTTAGGACTTCAGCAGTGGCACTAGAAAGGGGATGGATATGAACGACATTGCAAAGTAAAACTAGAGAGACGGCCGGGCACAGTGGCTCACTCCTGTAATCCCAGCACTTTGGGAGGCCAAGGCGGGTGGATCATGAGGTCAGGAGATCGAGACCAGCCTGGCCAACATGGTGAAACCCTATCTCTACTAGAAAAAAAAAAAAATAGCCAGGCGTGGTGGCGGGCGCCTGTAATCCCAGCTACTCCAGAGGCTGAGGCAGGAGAATTTGCTTGAACCAGGGAGTCGGAAGTTGCAGTGAGCTGAGATCGCACCACTGCACTCCAGCCTGGGCAATAGAGTGAGACTCCGTCTCAATAACAAAACAAACAAACAAAAACCTAGAGAGACTTGGCACCTTGCAGAGAGAAGCAAAAGATGACCCTGAGGTCTGGAGTCCAGGAAGCCAAGGACAGCAAAAGCATCCACAGAAACAGGAAAAGGGCAGGTGTGGGAGGGAAGGTGAGAGGTTCATCAGACCTCACAGCCCCTGGCAGCGCCTCCTGGATCTTTGAAATCCTGTGCACCCCAGGAGACTCCGGGAGGCCCATCTGAGCTCACCGGAGACAGGTCTGCCGTCTCTCCTCTCATCACTGGGGACAGAAAGCCTGAACATGAGGCCTGGACTACGGGGCTCAGACCAGAATATTTCCAGACTTAAGGGCAGTAATGTGGAGCCCAGGAAGGAATATTGAGGACAGAGGGCACATTACTTAGCTCAAGGGGTGCTGGGTTCTTATTTTCTACTTTCAAGAAATGTTTGCTATAGTCACTGTAACCACCACAAAACAGTGAATAATACCATGAGCCAAATGTATGTTTCACAATTTGTATGGCTGATTCTACGCACATTTAAATGTGTTTATGACAATTGTAGATTTCGGTTTTCCTCTGGTTAAACCAATGTGGAAGTACACAGGATGGGAGCTGAGAGACAAGCATCCTGGGCCCAGCCATGCTGGCCTCAGTGGGCCAAGCTGGGGACAGATGACCTCTGCTCCGTGGATCCTGCTGGCTCAGGGTGGGGAAGGGGCCTCAGGAGAGGAGTCAGGCTCTCTTCTTTATTCTCCTCACAGCCATGTTGAATGGCATTCCTGGGAGGCTGGTTTGGAGAACTCACTGAACCTAAGTGAGCAGGAAGTGAAGGTCTGTTCCCACCTGTGCCTGTGTTCCCAGATAGCAGCTGCCTCCAGGAGACTCACCAGGAGCCAGGTCCCTCCATACCTCATCTCAATTAACTCACTCACCAGGAGCCAGGTCCCTCCATAACTGATCTCAATTAACTCACTCACCAGGAGCCAGGTCCCTCCATACCTGACCTCAATTAACTCACTCACCAGGAGCCAGGTCCCTCCATACCTCACTCACCAGCAGCCAGGTCCCTCCATACCTCATCTCAATTAACTCACTCACCAGGAGCCAGGTCCCTCCACACAGAGTCTCAATTAACTCACTCACCAGGAGCCAAGTCCCTCCATACCTGATCTCAATTCACTCACTCACCAGGAGCCAGGTCCCTCCATACCTCATCTCAATTAACTCACTCACCAGGAGCCAGGTCCCTCCATACCTGATCTCAATTAACTCACTCACCAGGAGCCAGGTCCCTCCATACCTCATCTCAATTAACTCACTCACCAGGAGCCAGGTCCCTCCACACCTCATCTCAATTAACTCACTCACCAGGAGCCAGGTCCCTCCATACCTGATCTCAATTAACTCACTCACCAGGAGCCAGGTCCCTCCATACCTCATCTCAATTAACTCACTCACCAGGAGCCAGGTCCCTCCACACAGAGTCTCAATTAACTCACTCACCAGGAGCCAAGTCCCTCCATACCTGATCTCAATTAACTCACTCACCAGGAGACAGGTCCCTCCATACCTCATCTCAATTAACTCACTCACCAGGAGACAGGTCCCTCCACACCTCATCTCAATTCACTCACTCACCAGGAGCCAGGTCCCTCCATACCTCATCTCAATTCACTCACTCACCAGGAGCCAAGTCCCTCCACACCGAGTCTCAATTAACTCACTCACCAGGAGCCGGGTCCCTCCACACCTCATCTCAATTAACTCACTCACCAGGAGACAGGTCCCTCCACACCTCATCTCAATTAACTCACTCACCAGGAGACAGGTCCCTCCATACCTCATCTCAATTCACTCACTCACCAGGAGCCAAGTCCCTCCACACCGGGTCTCAATTAAATCACTCGCCAGGAGCCAGGTCCCTCCATACCGGGTGTCAATTAACTCACTCGCCAGGAGCCAGGTCCCTCCCTAATGGATCTCAATTAACTCACTCACCAGGAGCCAGGTCCCTCCACACCTCATCTCAATTAACTCAGTCACCAGGAGACAGGTCCCTCCATACCTCATCTCAATTAACTCACTCACCAGGAGCCAGTCCTCTCCATACCTGATCTCAGTTACCTCACTCACCAGTAGCCAGGCCTCTCCAGACCTGGCTTAATTCTCACTATACTTAATTCAATTAATTCTCACTATAGCCCTATCAGACAAACTCTAGGATACACATGAGGATACAGAGTCTCAGAAAGGCTGAGAAAGTGGCTTGAGGTCACCTAGGTGGTAAGTGGTAGAGCTAGGAGTTGAAGTCAAGTCTGACTCTCAAGTCCACGCTCTTTCCATTGCACTATCTGCTTTTCTTTCTCCCCAAAGCCACAATATGCCACGATGCGGCCCAAGGCCTCTCCTCCAGTACCGTGCTGAGGGCTCTGAACAGATCAGGGCTGAAGCCAAGATGTCATCCAGTGCAATACCCACATGACCTCCGTGAATATCTACCCTGCCTTAACACTGTTTATCTTTAGGAAGCAGGATGCCTGAGGTCCAAACTTCTCCCTGGTGATCAAACCAGCTAAGACTGATGGAATCCAAGATGGCAGCTCATTTGACCTCTAACTTCATTATAATCTAATTTCCATGTTAAATGACAGTCCCACTAACACCGTAACAGTCAACAACCAACATGACAATGATGGGAAAAAATAACATAAAAAAACAAATAGGAAGGTGGCACTCTGGTTTTGAAAATTTCTCCACCCAGACCCAGAAAACACATGATTCCTCCCCTTGCTTTTTTCATTTTTATTTTTGTAGAGATGGGGGTGTATCACTATGTTGACCAGGATGGTCTCGAACTCCTGGTCTCAGCAATCCTCTCATTTTGGCCTCCCAAAGTTCTGGGTTTATGGGAGTGAGCCATTGCACCTGGCCACTCCTCCCCTTGCTTTTAATGCTCAGCCCCTTCACTAAAGATGCCCTGTATCTGTGACTTCCTGGGTCTCACGAGCAGAAAAGTTGATTTGTGAGCCAAGCTCTCACTTCTCAATTCCATGGCCACCAAATAAAGCCTGCACTGCTTGAGGCTCACTTTCGGTTTTGCATATTGGCTTCATGGCACCAAACAGGGAAAGACCCCATTTTAGGGAAAGTGGCTTTGTCAGTAACAAGGACACAGAAGGAAAGAAATGGAGGATGATTTAGGGCAGAAGTCAGCAAACTATGGTCTATGGGCCAAATCTGGCCACTGCCTGTTTTTGTGCAACTCATAGGCTAAGAATGTTTTCTACATTTTTAGATGGTAGGAGAAGAACAAAAGAGGAAGAATGTTTTGTCACAAAAGTATATGAGATTCAAATTTCAGTGTCCACAGACGGCAATCCTGGCTCCTACCCCTAAAACAATCATTGCAGTGGAGCTCTGCCCTAGCTACGGCCCCTTTCTTCTTTTGGTTCCCTGACTTTGGGGCCTGGAGGGCACAAAGGCAAGGAGCAGGCTGCCATCCACCCCTTCTCAGAGAACCTGCAGGGAGCTCACCATGCTCTGCATCCAGTCTAGGTGGCTCCTAGCGGGGCTTGGTGGGTTCTCCATCCTCAGCACCATCTGCAGCACCATCTTGGTCATCTGAGAAGCTGAGAGAAACACAAGGTAAATGTTCCTGTCCTCATTTCTGCCTCCCAACCCCACTGCTGCTGCTCAATGTCCCCAGTATCTCTCTGCAGACTCCTGTGTGCCCTCAAAAGTCTACACGGTACCAGTCAAGAGACATCCATACTGCAAGATGATAGAAAGGTAAGTGGAACCCAACCACCTCATTCTCTACCCTCATGTCTACCACGGACAGCTGAACCTCTCCCTGTGGAACCTGGAAAAGTAGCTCAGAGAGGAGTAGCAGGTGGCAAGGAACATCAGGGAAACAAAGCTAGAAGGAGCATGTAGGCACCTTTGACCTGAAATAGACAAGATGCAAGATCTCAGGATTGTCAGGGACCTTAGGAACCATCTAGGCCACATCCCGGCTTTGGCCTGAAGTGCAGGCAAAGGGTTTGCCTCTGCCAGCCATCGCATCCAGCTTTGCTGTAGGTGGAATCGGGCCTGTATGTGAGTTACCAGGGTTGCAGAGGACACTGTGGTCTGGGTGGCAGTCTGGTGCCACATGGCAGAATTCATCACAGTAGCAACTTCCCCTCTTGCAGCGGTGATCCGTCCCAAGACAGCAAAGGTTCTGGGGTTGGGAGCAGCTGCCTGGAGAAAAAGGAACATTAAAAAAAAAAAAAAAGATTAAAATTAGCCAGGTATGGTGGTGCACGCCTGTAGTCCCAGCTACCCAGGAGGCTGAGACAGGAGATCACTTGAGCCCAGACGCAGGAAGCTGAAGTGAGCCATGATCACACCAGCGCACTTCAGCCTGGGTGACAGAGCAAGACCCTGTCTCAAAAAAAAAAAAAAAAAAAAAAAAAGGAAAAGAAAAGATAGATTTAACAAATGGTGCTTAGACAACTGGATAAGCACATGCAAAAGAATGCATTTGGACTCCTACCTCAAACCATATACAAATATTAACTCAAAATGGACCATAGACCTAAATGTAAGAGCTGAAACTGGCTGGGTGCGGTGGCTCATGCCTGTAATCCCAGCACTTTGGGAGACCAAGGCAGGCAGATCACTTGAGGCCAGGAGTTCAACACCAGCCTGGCCAACATGGTGAAACCCGTCTCTACTAAAAACACAAAAATTAGCTGGGCTTGGTAGCATGCACCTATAGTCCCAGCTACTCAGGAGGCTGAGGCAGGAGAATTGCTTGAACCCAGGAGGTGGAGGTTGCAGTGAGCCAAGATTGCACAACTGCACTCCAGCCTGGGCAACAGAGCAAGACTCTGCCTCCAAAATAAATAAATAAATAAAAATAAGTCAATCAAATTTAAAACTGGACAAAGGATTTAAATAGACATTTCTCCAAAGAAGATACACAAGTGGCCAGTGAGCATGAAAGATACTCAACATCATTAATCATAAGGAAATGCAAATCCAAACCACAATGAGATACCACCCCACATCCAGTAGGACGGCTAAGATAAAAAATAAAACAGCAAGTGTTGGCTGGGTGGGGTGGCTCACACCTGTAATCACGGCACTTGGGAACACTGAGATGGGTGGATGACGAGTTCAGGAGTTTGAGACCATCCTGGCCAGCATAGTGAAACCCGTCTCTACTAAAAATACAAAAATTAGCTGGGTGTGGTGGCATGCACCTGTAGTCCCAGCTACTCAGGAGGCTGAGGCACGAGAATCTCTTGAACCCAGGAGGCAGAGGTCGCAGTGAGCTGAGATCACGCCACTGCACTCCAGCCTGGCGACAGAGCGAGACCCCATCTCAAAAAAAAAAAAAAAAAAAGCAAGTGTTGAAGTGTTGCTGAGGGTGTGGAGAAATTGGAACCCTCATACACTGCTGGTGGAATTGCAAAATGGTGCAGCCACTTTGAAAATCAATTTGGGGAGATGAGGTGGCAGCAGAAAAGAATAAAAAAAAAAAAGAAAAAAAAGAAAAACAATTTGACAGTTTCTCAGAATGTAAACATAGAGTTGCCATATGACCCAGAAACCCTACTTCTGAGCCTGTAGTTAGGAGAATTAAAAACACATGTTCACACAAAAACCTATCAATGAATATTCATAGCAGTGTTATTCATAATAGCCAAATAGTAGAAACAATTCAAATGCCCTTCAACTGATGAATGGCTAAAACTAAATCTGGTATATCCATATAATGGGATATTACTCAGCCATAAAAAGGAATGAAGTACAGATGCATGCCACAACAACAATGAAACTTGAAAACATGCTAAGTGAAAGAAGCCACTCACAAAAGGCCGTGTATTGTATGATTCCATTTATATGAAATGTTTAGAATAGACAAATCCATCAAGACAGAAAGTATATTAGTGGTTGCCAGGGGCTGGTGAGATGTGTGGACCAGGCAGTGACTGCTGATGGGTCAGAGTTTATTTGGGGCATAACAAACATGTTCTGAAATTAGACAGAGGTGGCCAGGCGCAGTGGCTCACACCTGTAATCCCAGCACTTTGGGAGGCCGAGGCGGGCAGATCATTTGAGGTCAGGAGTTTGAGACTAGCCTGGCCAACGTGGCAAAACCCTGTCTCTACCAAAAAGTGCCAAAAAAATAAAATAAGACAGCAGTGATGGTTCTGCAACCCTGTGAATACACTGAACAACACTGAAATGTACACATGGTGAATTGTACAAAAGGGTAAATCTCACATCCTGTAAATTATCTCTCAATAAAGCTGTTATTAAACAGAGAGAGAGAGAAGGAGAGAAAAGGGGGAGATAAGATGAGGACGGTAATGGGAGTGACAGCGAAGAGAGAAATAGAGAAAACAGCAGAGAAGAGAGTGCCTAAGAGGGAGAGAAACCCCTCCCCCACTCCCCACAGTTAGAGGAAGGTCTTCCAGAGCCCTGTTTACAAACCAGTTCTGCCAACTCTACCCCCTGCCCAAATTTCCCCAAATTGCTCAGCTCAGTTGTGATCTGGTCATTGTCATTCCCTCCAAGAGAAGGGGATGCATCTTCTTTAAGAGTGCGGCAAGCAAGGCGTGGGCAGGAGGGACGCTGGCCCAGTTACCTGGCGAGTCTGTGGCTCAGGTGAGCAGGGGACCCAGGTGTTGTCACCCCAGGACTCTCAACACTCTTCTCCGTCTACTTGACTTTGACCTTCCAAATTGCTTCCTGTTAGGTTAACACCTGGCTCTTTAGGGCTAAACTGGAGGGCTTTGTTTAGGGATAAACTTGAAGGCCTTTCAAAGTTGACACGATCAACAGGGAGCAGGCCTCTGAGCCCTGTGGGCCTGGGTGTGGCTGAGCCAGTCTGTTGTGGAAACAGGGCCAGCAGGTGTCCGGTAGTGTGGTCTGGGGGGTCAAGACTCTGAAGGTGAGGGTGGCCTGGCTGGGGCCACAGCCTCTGAGTTTGGCCTGGCTTTTGCCTCATGTTCAGCTCAGGAGCCTCCTGCAAGTGATCAGCTTCTCTTCTCATGTTGTCCCTCTTCTCCAGAGCCTGGTGCTGCGTCAGGTTGTCACCAAGACCAGGGATCAACCAGAAAGGGCTGGAGTGGAAATAGAGCCCCAGGAGCCACCCAGACTAAGGTTGCCGACAATCTGTGAGACTGAGTTCAATTCAGTGGTCATAACCAACATTTATTTCAACAGGATGACACTGAATGAAATAGAATAGAATAGACCCACATACATTGTATGTAAAAGTCAACTGAGTTCTTTTTGAAATTTCTGTTGGTTTTTATACACACAGATGCACTTACTGGGTCAGAGTATAAAATGTATTTATTAAAGTGAACTGGGGCCAGAAACGTTGGAAAGCCACTGATCTAGAGAGATGTCCTCATTGTATAGACAAGGGGAGAACCTTTTGCCCATGGCTGGGAGTCAAACCAGCAATCCTGACCTCTCCCCTGCTTTCCCACCATATCGTGCTCAGGGTCCTCACTCAAAAAGCCTCTTGTTGCACGTGCTACGGAGCTCTGCTGTTCTCTAAACACCCTGCATTCTCCTGCCTCTGAGCCTTTGCTCAAGCTCTTCCCTCGGCTTGGAAGGCCCTTCCCTCCCATATCCATTAGAATTAAATATTCTATGCTTCAAGGCAGCATTTGAAGACAACTTCCCCCGGGGTGCCGAGGAGCTAGCTCATTATTATGAAGATGAAAAATAAAGAATCAAACATTGATCCAGCCTTTCCATCCAAGCCAAATAGTTGACAAGGGAAATATCTTCACGACAGAGAACCTTCGGCTAACAAGTGCAGAAAGAATGATAGAAAAGCACTACTTGGCAGCCCCTAATGAGAAGTGGATCTCAGCACAAATCATTAGTGGACAGAATTTTATAATGGGTGCACTATCTGGTGGATGAAGTTTAACACCAGTAAAAGTGGGACAGCTGGACACTTTGTGTCTCCTTCGAGGTGCGATAGGAAGTACCCACCTATGGATTCTTCCTGCCTAAGAAATCTCCAGTCCTGATCTCAACTACCAGAGTTCAGGAAAGACAGAGGCAGAGGGACATCCACAAAGATTCAATCAGTCAAACCCAGAAGGTAGGATATGCCGCAGGACACAGTACCTGGTTCGTTCAACAGCTAAATGACATGAAAAAATGGCACTGATCTAGGTATAGATTTAAAGACATTTAAGAAATATGCTAGTTAAACATGTGTGCGTATCTTTTTTGGATCTTGACTTGAATAAACCAGCTGTAAAAAGGCATTTTTCTTTCTTTCTTTTTTTTTTTTTTTTTTTTTTTTTTTTGAGACATGGTCTCACTCGGTGCAGCAGACTGGAATGCAGTGGTATGGTCACAGCTCGCTGCAGCCGCAACTTCTGGGGCTCAAGCAATTTTCTCACTTCAGCCTTCTGAATAGCTGGGACTATAGGTGAACATCAACACACCTTGCTAATTTTTAAACAAATTTTTTTTTTGTAGAGACTGAGTCTCGCTATTGTACCCAGGCTGGTCTCAAACTCCTGAGCTCCAGTGATCCTCCCACCTTGGCCTCCCAAAGTGCTGGGACTACAGGCATCAGCCACCACATCTGATCTTATTTTTTCTTTTTCTCTTCTGCTTTGCTGCTGAATAACAAGATATTTTTGACAAGTGGGGGAAATATGAACACTGATAGGTATTAAACGATAGTAAGTAGTTTTTTAAATTAATTAATTAATTAATTTTTTTTTTAAAGACAGAGTCTTGCTCTGTTGCCCAGGCTGGAGTGCAGTGGCGCAATCTCGGCTCACTGCAACCTCCACCTCCCTGGTTCAAGTGATTCTCCTGCCTCAGCCTCCCGAGTAGCTGGGATTACAGGTACCCGCCACCATGCCTAGCTAATTTTTGTATTTTTAGTAGACACAGGGGTTTCACCATGTTGGCCAGGCTGGTCTTGAACTTCTGGCCTCAGGCGATCTGCCCGCCTCAGTCTCTCAAAGTGTTGGGATTACAGGTGTGCGACCATATTTGTTTTGGCTCTGATAAGGTATTGTGGTTATATTTTTTAAATATGGGGGATAAGAGCTTGAGCATAATGTTGATAATATTGAAGGTGGCCAACTGGTACCTTGGGTTCATCATCCTATTCTCTTTACTTTTGCATGTGTTTGAATTTTTCCACAATAAATAGCTTTGGGTTTTTTTTTTTTTTTTTTCCTGAGATGGAGTCTCCCTCTGTCACCCAGGCTAGAGCGCAGTGGCGCAATCTCGGGTCACTGCAACCTCTGTCTCCCAGGTTCAAGTGATTCTCCTGCCTCAGCCTCCCAAGTAGCTGGGATTACAGGCACCCACCACCACACCTGGCTAATTTTTGTATTTTAATAGCGATGGTATTTCACCATGTTACCCAGGCTGGTCTTGAACTCCTGACCTCAAGTGATCCACCCGTCTCGGCCTCTCAAAGTGCTGGGATTACAGGCGTGAGCCACCGCACCCAGCCAAGAAGTACAGCCTTGTGCCACATCACGATGTTTAGACCGATGATGGACCATATATATGACGGTGGCCCCATAAGATTATAATAGGGCATATGCAGAAACCCGATATATGGTGCTCGATATTGGCCTTGAGGATCAAGCAGGGGAAATGACTGATGTTCAGTAATGGGACATGTGCTGGGACATGTGGCTTTCCATGTGGAAAACAAACATGTAAATAAATATATATATAAACCATCTAGGTTTATGTAAACTCTCGATTTCATTGTTGTGTGAACTCTATGATATTCATACAACAAAGAAATCATCTGATGATGCATTTCTCAGAATGTGTCTCCATCATTAAGCAACAGCTGACTGTGTTCCTACCAATGACATCTAGTTTTCTCCCAAGAGAAGTTCTAGGGCCAGGCACGGTGGCTCACACCTGTAATCCCAACACTTTGGGAGGCGGAGGTGGGCAGATCACCTGAAGTCAGAAGTTCAAGACTAGCCTGGCTAACATGGCGAAACCCTGTCTCTATTTAAAATGCCAAAAATTAGCCAGGCATGGTGGTGCATGCCTATAATCCCAGCTACTCGGGAGGCTGAGGCAGGAGAATGGCTTGAACCCAGAAGGTGGAGGTTGCAGTGAGCCGAGATCGTACCACTGCACTCCAGCCTGGCGGGGGACAGAGCAGACTCTGTCTGGAAAAAAAAAAATTAAAAAGAGAGAGAGAGGAGAGAGAGAGAGAAGTTCTAGTAAATGCAACTGTATTCACCCTGTTGTATTTCCAGGGATGTTTGAATAAACCCAGTAGACTGGTGCCTGGAAATTGCCCAGTGAGTCTGCCTGTTAATCTGGATCTGGGTTTATCACACCTACCTTCCCTCCTGTCCCGTCCACCCCAGCCACCCACAGTGCCCACGCTGCCTCTATCCGAGGGAGCATCCTCTGGATACTAGACCCTCCCAAGCTGATCATCCAAAGACATCTTATCCAGATATAAAACTGGATACACAAAGAAGCCACATCAACCATATAGTCGGTACTTAATAAGTGTCTGAATACATGAATTATTTGATTAATGAATTAATGAATGCTGGGTCACAGGAGGTGGGTCATGCCAGAGACAAAACAGATTAATTGATTGAATGAATGAGAGAGCAGAGATTGGGGTCTCTTTGACCTGTAGCACAGATGCCAGCCTAGCTCCTCACCTGTCTTCACCCCAAGGCTCAGCCACAGCAGGAGGAGGAGGACCAGCCACGTGGCAGCAGGCATCAAGCAGAGATAGAAGTGCTGCAGCGTCCAAGGCCTGGTCTTTAAATATCCACCCATCCCAGCCAGCCCACCTGGTTCCTCCCTACTCCTGGGGAGGAACCAGCAGACACCTGGGCAGTCACTGGCAGACAGCAGGAGTGACACAGGTATCCCAGCTGCTTGAAATAGCTCACCCAAGCAGAGGTAATTTTGACATCCTGGAAACTCCAGCCTCCAGGGGAAGAATCTGAAAAACCAGAGTGACAAAATGACAGCGCTCACAGGAACTTTGCAGATTATCTAATCTTTTTATTTATTTTATTTTATTTTTTGAGACAGAGTCTCACTCTATCGCCCAGGCTGGAGTGCAGTGGTACGATCTCAGCTCACTGCAACCTCTGCCTCCCGGGTTCAAGAGGTTCTTCTGCTTCAGCCTCCCCAGTAGCTGGGATTACAGGTGGCTACTATTACACCCAGCTAATTGCTGTATTTTTAGTAGAGACGAGTTTTCACCACGTTGGCCAGGCTGGTCTCAAACTCCTGACCTCAGGTGATCCACTGCCTCAGCCTCCCAAAGTGCTGGGATTACAGGCATGAGCCACCACACCTGGCCAATTGACTTTTATTAGCATTCATATACAGGTTTTGTGTGAATATATGTTTTCATTTCTCCGGGATAAATGTGCAAAAATGAAATTACTGCATCATATAGTAGTTGCACATTCAGTCATAAAAAAAAACAGCCAAGCTGTTTCCCAGAGTGGCTGCACCACTTTAAATTCTCACAGCAGTGATTGAGTGGTACAGTTCCTTTGCATCCTTGACAATAGTATTGTTACTATTTTTTATTTTGGTGATTCTTTTTTTTTTTTTTTTTTTTGAGACATAATCTTGCTCTGTCGCCCAGGCTGGAGCGCAGTGGCATGATCTCAGCTTACTGCAACCTCCGTCTCCTGGGTTTAAGCAATTATCTTGCCTCAGCCTCCCAAGGTGCTAGGACTACAGGCGTGTGCCACCACACCTGGCTAATTTTTGTGTTTTCAGCAGAGACAGGGTTTTGCCATGTTGGCCAGGTTGGTCTTGAATTCCTGATCTCATGTGATCTGCCTGCCCCAGCCTCCCAAAGTGTTGGGATTACAGGTGTGAGCCACCATGCCTGGCCTTATTTTGTTGATTCTAACACGTGGTGATATCTCCTGGTTTAAAGAAGCGTTTCCCTAATGGTATCAAACATCTTTTCATGTGCTTATTTGCAATCTGTATATCTTCTCCAGTGAAATGTTGCTTTGTATCTTTTGCTCATGTTCTAATTGCATTCTTTGTTTTGTTACTATTTTAAGACTTTTAAATGTATTCTAGATACTAGTCCTTTGCAAATATAGTCATGCATCGCATAAGGACATTTTGGTCAATGACAAACTGCATATAGGATGCGGTCCCATAAGATTATAATAATGGGCCTGAAAAAATTCCTGTTGCCGAGTGCAATGCTACTCATGTGTCTAGTGATGCTCGTGTAAAGCTACTGTGCTGCCACTTGCATAAAAGCACAGCGCACACCATTCTGTACAGTACACAATACTTGATAATGATAATAAATGTGTTCCTGGATAGCACAGCACACACCATTCTGTACAATACACAATACGTGATAATGATAATAAATGTGTTCCTGGTTTATGTATTTACTATAATATACTATTGATCAGTGTTTTAGAGTGTACTCCTTCTCTCTATAAAAGAATTAAGTGAACTAGCAGGCCCTTTGGGAAGTACTGTAGAAGGCATTGTTACCACAGGCGATGACAGCTCCATGTGTGTTATTGCCCCTGAAGACCTTCCAGAGAGACAAAATGTGGAGGTGGAAGACAGTGATACTGATGACCCTGACCCTGTGTGGATCTAGGCTAACATGTGTTTTTGTGTCTTAGTTTTCAACAAAAAAGTTTAAAAAGTTAAAATACTAAGTTTATAAAGTTAAAAAGTTACAGTAAGCTAAGGCTGACTTATTGAAAAAATGTGCTTATACATGTAATATAGCTAAGCTGGCTTTTGCAAACATAGAGTCCTGTGGATGTTATGCTGACTTCGGCTTGGGGTTTTTCACAGAGAGAAGCATGGCAAGGGGGACTCCATCAGGTTGGTGCAAAGGTAATTGCTGTTTTCGCAATTAAAATAATGGGAAAAACTGCAATTACCTTTGCACCCACCTAATAACTTATCTAGGGGACTCTTTCTCCACCCAAAACCCAGGACACTTGGCCCACAACTACATCACCACCCCAGGGTTCCAGGACACTTGGCCCATGACTACATCACCACCCCAGGGTTCCAGGACACTTGGCCCACAACTACATCACCACCCCAGGGTTCCAGGACACTTGGCCCATGACTACATCACCACCCCAGGGTTCTTTACTATAGTTTTCTTGTTCTTCCTTCAATTACGTGTGACATTCCCAACTCCAAGATTCTTCCAGTCCTTCTCTCCCCCTTCATCTAAAGCAGGCTGTCATGAGTTTCTGTCAGCTGCAATCAAGAGTCATGACTCTTACAGTGGGTAGGATTACTCCCTTTTTTGTTGTCATTAAGGAAACCTGTAAGAGGAAAAACAAACACACTTTATGTGGAGAGACAGGGAAAGTTGTTCTATTCAGTCTGGAATCTAGTCCCTCAGCTGGTGGTCCACCTTCGGATTCACTGGTCTTGGGAGTAAGACGGTGCCTTGTAGTCAAAGAAGTGAGGAATTCTGGTGCCTCCTGAGGGTGGAACTGAGGAGAGGAGACGTGAGAGAGGATGCTGGAAAGGAGGAAGCAGCCAGAATGTGTAGGGCCTTTGTGGCCAGGCCAAGGAGCCTCAGGGAATATCTGAGCGTCTTAAATAGGTCAGAGGGCAATTCTGAAAACAAACTCCTTCTACCTGCTGTGTAGGCAATGAGTTGTCATTGTTAGATAGAGGATAAAATGAACCCAATTAGATTATTGCCATCATTCCAGTGATTGAAGATGTTGATCTGTAATAGGGTAATGGCCATACACTTTCGAGAGGAAAAATGTTCAAATTTAGGGGATAATTAGAAATCTGCACTTACAGCCCTTGGTGACACTTTTCCTATGAGCCAAACGGAGAGGGGGAGAGAGAGAGAAGGTGGACAGTCACCGACATATGAGGCAGTGGAAGAGGAACAGGCATGGATAGGAAGAGAATTGTGGGACACACTGGGTTCGAGATGCCTGTGTGAGACAGTCTCATGAATATGTCCAGTAGTATATTGACCAAGCAAGTCTGTCAGGAGCCTCTGGAAATGAGGTACAGAATTTGATAGTCATCACTATGGAGATGGTAACCTGAGCCGTGAGAGAAGCTAAAATCCCCGGGGAGAGGATGTAGAATGAGAGGAGAAAATGGGCCAGGACAAACACAAGGAATGCTCGGAGGGAGGGGCAAAACCAGAACAGTACAGCGTCCCCAAACCAAGGAAAAGAATGTTGCCAGAAGAGGAGAGTCAGGCTGTTTCAAACTCTGCTAAGAAGTGAAGGATGTTGCATATTGAGTAGAGTCCATTGGGGTTACCAGTCAGGCTGACTCAGGGATCCTCTTTGGCAGAAGTAGTTCCAATGAAGTGGGAGGAGGAAGGGAGGAGCAGAGGCCAAATGAGCGTGAGGAGTGTTTAGGAGTTGACAGAAAGTGTATCCACTTTTTTGAGACGTTTAGCCAGGAAGAGGGAGAGACATGGGGCAGTAGGTGGAGGAGGAGATGAAATTAAGGGAGTGTATGGAGTTTTAAAATGGAAAGCTTGATCCTGTTTAAATGCTGTTTTATGCCCCTACGAGGGCGAGGTTAAACATACAGAATAGAGGCATAACTGATAGAGCCAAGACTCCCACCCAGGAGCGGGTTTCGAGCGGCACCTCTCTAATTCAATCCCAAAGGAAAAGAGGATACATGTGGGTCCAGGTACATGCTGAGGTTTGGTGGCAGGACTTTGAAGGAGGTCCCATCTGATGGCTTCTATTTCTCCTGTGAAATAGGGGAAGCCCTGTCTGCTGGTTGTGATGTGCCGTGACAGTCAGAAATGCGGGGAAAAGGGGACAGGTCTGAAACGGGAGGCGTTAAGAATGGGAAAGTAAAGGCAGGCGCGATGGCTCACGCCTGTAATCCCAGCACTTTGGGAGCTCGAGGCGGGTGGATCACCTGAAGTCGGGCATTTGAGACCAGCCTGGCCAACATGGTGTAACCCCATCTCTACTAAAAATACAAAAATTAGCCAGGCATGGTGGTGTGTGCCTGTAATCCCAGCTACTTGGGAGGCTGAGGCAGGAGAATCGCTTGAACCCAGGAGGTGGAGGGTGCAGTGAGCTGAGATCGCGCCGCTGCACTCCAGACTGGGTGGCAAAGCGAGACTCCAACTCAAAAAAAAAAAAAAAAAAGAATGGGAAAGGGAGAGTGTCTGGGGAAGCAGCGTTGCCTCGGCAAGGCCTGAGACCGGCTGGGGTTAGAGATCAGGACTCCCGCGTGGCCTCGTCTCTGCCTCTGTGCATTTTCCCCCAGCAGGTCAGCAGTGTGAAAGGCGGGGGTTCTAGTAGGTCTCACAGGGAGACAATGCAGGAAGGGGCTGAGAATTGCAAGTGAGAGGTTATTGGTAGGACGGACAATGCAGGAGCTGGATGGACTGCACGGACTGAGCGATCGCCACCGAGAGATATTTGGGGTACCCTGCCCCAGTCCCCAGCCCTCAGCCCCCGACCCACCATGGGAGGTGGGAGCAGCGGGCAGGCCGGTTGGGGGCCAGATACCCAGGCAGTGGGATGTGCAGTGGGAGGGGTCTCCGCCCCTGCCCCGGGTCCCCACTGGCCCCTCCGCCGCCGACCGGCCCCCCCGCGGCATCCCAGAGCCGACCCAGGCCCAACTAGAGGAATGGCTGCAGAGCTGGGATCCTAATGACACAGGACAGTGGTGGAGCGTTAAGAGCTCGGTGGTAAACGTGCACTGAAATACAGTCATGCTGTGCAGAAGCTCTCTAGTTTCATTAGATACCTTTTGTCAATTTTGGCTTTTGTTGCCATTTCTTTTGGTGTTTTAGTCATGAAGTCTTTGCCCATGCTTACGTCCTCAATGGTGTTGCCTAGGTTTTCTTCTAGGATTTTTCTGGTTTTAGGTCTCACGTTTAAATCTTTAATGCATCTTGAGTTAATTTTTGTATAAGTGTCAGCAAGGGGTCTAGTTTCGGTTTTCTGCATATGACCAGGCAGAGTGAACAGGCAACCTACAGAATGGAAGAAAATTTTTGCAATCTATCCATCCGACAAAGGGCTAATATCCAGAATTTACAAGGAACTTAAGTAAATTTACAAGAACAAACAACCCCATCAGAAAGTGTGCAAAGGATATGAACAGACACTTCTCAAGACATTTATGCAGCCAACAAACATGAAAAAAACTCATCGTCACTGATCATTAGAGAAATGCAAATCAAAACCACAATGAGATATCATCTCACACCAGTTAGAATGGTGATCATTAAAAAGTCAGGAAACAACAGATGCTGGAGAGGATGTAGAGAAATAGGAATAGTTTTACACTGTTGGTGGGAGTGCAAATTAGTTCAACCATTGTGGAAGACAGTGTGGCGATTCCTCAAGGATCTAGAACTAGAAATACCATTTGACCCAGCCATCCCATTACTGGGTATATACCCAAAGGATTATAAATCATTCTACTGTAAAGACACATGCACACGTATGTTTATTTATTATTTTTGAGACGGAGTCTTGCTCTGTTGCCAGGCTGGAGTGCAGTGGCACGGTCTCGGCTCACTGCAACCTCCACCTCCCGGGTTCAAGCGATTCTCTTGCCTCAGCCTCCTGAGTAGCTGGAACTACAGGCACACACCACCACGCCCAGCTAATTTTTTGCATTTTACTAGAGAAGGGGTTTCACCATGTTGGCCAGAATGGTCTTGATCTCCTGACCTCGTGATCCACCCGCCTCAGCCTCCCAAAGTGCTGGGATTACAGGTTTGAGCCACCGCGCCCAGCCCCGAGCACATGTATGTTTATTGCGGCACTATTCACAATAGCAAAGACTTGGAACCAACCCAAATGCCCATCAATGACAGACTGGTTAAAGAAAATGTGGCACATAGACACCATGGAATACTATGCAGCCATAAAAAAGGATGAGTTCATGTCCTTTGCAGGATCATGGATGACACTGGAAACCATCATTCTCAGCAAACTAACACAGGAACAGAAAACCAAACACTGCATGTTCTCACTCATAAGTGGAAGTTGAACAATGAGAACATATGGACACAGGGAGGGGAACATCACACACCGGTGCCTGTTGGGAGGTTGGGGGCAAGGGGAGGGATAGCATTAGGAGAAATACCCAATGTAGATGACAGGTTGATGGGTGCAGCAAACCACCATGGCACATATATACCTATGTAACAACGCTGCACGTTCTGCACATGTATCCCAGAACTTAAAGTATAATAATAATAATAATAAAGGAATTGAGAGACTGTTGATATCAACTGTTCCCTGAGCCACATGGAAAGCTGTATCCTCTGCAGGCTGCTTGGTGAGTATGTGAGGAGGTATATTCATTCACTTTGAGACCTATTTCTCTAAGAAAGGGTCCTGAAAGGCTTTCCCCTGCTACAGGGACAGCCCTTGGCAAGGAAGCCACTGTCCTCAGGCACACAGGGCTCCTTCATCTCCTGCAACAGATACAGCCCTTGGCAAGGAAGCCACTGTCCTTGAGCACATAGACAGGGCTCCTTCATCTCCTGCAACAGGGACAGCCCTTGGCAAGGAAGCCACTGCCCTTGAGCACATAGACAGGGCTCCTTCATCTCCTGCAACAGGGACAGCCCTTGGCAAGGAAGCCACTGTCCTTGAGCACATAGACAGGGCTCCTTCATCTCCTGCAACAGGGACAGCCCTTGGCAAGGAAGCCACTGTCCTTGAGCACATAGACAGGGCTCCTTCATCTCCTGCGACAGGGACAGCCCTTGGCAAGGATGTCACTTCCTTGGGCACACAGACAGGGCTCCTTCAGCAGACAGCAGATAGATATGCAATGCAAGCCTTGGTTTTTTGGGATGATTCCAATGCAGCACCAGATACGTGTGTCCAATTCTGGGGTTTGCTCATAGGAAACCCATGTGCCAGCAAATCTATGTCACATTCTCCAGTATCACCTTTATAAGGAATAAAGTCAATTTACTGTTCTTCTGTAAAAAGAAAGAAACGTATTCATGACTGTAGCTTGGCTGTCACTCAAGTGCAAGTGAATGGTGGATGTGGCCGCGCGGCTCCACGCACTGATTCATAATCCCCAAAAGGGACAAGGGCAGACCCAGCTCTCTGCAGGGCAAACGCTCCACAACCCAAAACACTTGTTTCTGTTGTTGTTGCTGTTTGGAAACTCCCTCTTCTATTTCCCACCTCCCTCTTTCCCGTTCTCATTCCCTTTTCTCTGCTCCTATTTCTGTTTCCCTCAGTTCCACCTAATACCCCGTGGTGTCACCCTAGCCCTTTCCTCTACCCACTCCAGCCTTACTACCCCCAACGTCCCACACCCTGGGAAACACCAAGGTCTGCCTCTGTACCTCCAAGTTCTTTCCCCGTTATTGCCCTGGGTCAGTCCTTTGTGGGGGCTCCTCTCTCCTCTCTTGATTTCTTTTCATCTGGCTAACCTCTAATCCTGTAAGATTTACCTCAAATATCTTTCAAGAAGTATTTTCTGAATCCAAGGAGGACCTAAAAGCCATTCTGCTGGCCTCCCAGAGCTGAATCTGCCCATCTCCCCCGGATTATATTAAAATTATAAGTCATGTAAAATCCTTTTGGAACGAGACAGGGTATGATAAATAAGAAATATTCAACAAGTATACGTTACTTGTGTACACATACCACCTGACTTCTTTAACAACACATTGCAAGAAATAAAAAGATGGAGACATACGGCTGGGCGCAGTGGCTAATGCCTGTAATCCCAGCACTTTGGGAGGCCAAGGCAGGTGGATCACTGAGGTCAGGAGTTCGACACCAGCCTGGCCAACATGGTGAAACCCCCATCTCTACTAAAAATACAAAAATTAGCCAAGTGTGGTGGCAGGCACCTGTAATCCCAGCTACTCGGAAGGCTGAGGCAGGAGAATCTCTTGAACCCGGAATGCGGAGCTTGCAGTCAAGCAAGATTATGCCACTGCACTCCAGCCTGGGTGACACAGCAAGACTCCATCTCAAAAAAAAAAAAAAAAAGAAAAAGAAAAAGAAAAAACACCATGCATGCATACTCATATGAATGTACAAATGGATGAGTCTAGAACAAAAGATACTAGCCTGATACATATACAAACTATGCAGCTGCAGTCCCTGCCTCTTCCGCAACCCTGACCTCTAAGAAAGCTCTAACTCTGAATCCTGTCAGCACCTGGGCTGTGCTGCTTGGGACAACATTGTCTTCACAAGTCCTCTCCACATTCTCAGAGGTGGGGGTATTGCCAATGATGGGGGTTACTGCCTGAGTCCCGTCACCAGGGGACAAAGCTACAGCAGACACCACCATCTGCCAACAAAAAGAGAGATCATCTCCCACCCCTGGTTCTGCTGACGCAATCACTGGAAGCATCGAGGCACCACTATGTCCTCACCTGCCTCGGATTCAATTTCCTCCTAGCCAGGTCTGTTCTAAGGTCTCCAGAAGTTGAGAAATTAATTGAAAGATAACACTTTCCTCCCTGTGTTAAGGTTTATCACATAATGTATCCAAATACTGGGCCAGTCTTTCCTTTGGTCTCATTTCTATGAGCTAATCTGAAAATGCCTTTTCTGTTTTCCTTAGAATTTTTCTAAATGTTTCTGGGCGCTTGTGTTCCTGAGGCTTTCCACAGTGCACCCTCTTGTTCATCTGATGTCTTTGGCACATATAGGCCCTCGACAGGTAGTTGTTCAATGAACAGATGACCATCCTGTCCTTTGTGTGAACAAGCATAGCAAGTGCACATTGTATCTGTTTGTGTATCCAACAGCGTCCCTCCAAAGCCACTTTGTTCACTTATTTTCTCAGGATCACGGACGGCTGCATCTTGACATAAGCACACAGAATCTTTCCTTTTCCAGTCACTTTTCCTTTTTCCAGATTCCGGCCATAGAATTCCAGGCACAGAGCCAACCATGCCTGGCACCCCCTCCTGTCTTGGGACAAGGATACTTTCTCCTGTGGCTCCCATCTTGCTTCCAACATTCTTCTGCCAGAATTCAGTTTGGCGGACAATGACCTACTACTTTTAATTTTTTTCCCCTTTTTGCTCTTCTACCAAATACCGCTTTTCACCCAGGCTTTTCACTGCGTAGTGGACAATCTATCAAACAGGTGCTGTCCAGCGTGAGGGGCAGTTGCAAAGGTCTGCATCGGTGCTGGCTGATGGAACTTTCCGGTGATGGCATCATTCCGTAGCTGCACTGTCCAGTGAGGAGGCTACTTGCCACTGTGGCTACTGCTTGGGATGGTGCAGGTCTGAATATCTTACTCACAGCTCACCTTTTTGGTGCCTTTGATCCGTATTAGGAATTATCCACATCTTCTCTCTGGGCAATATTCTACTTTTTATATTGACCCAATTATTTTACTTCTTTGGTGTGTCCTTTCTCCTAACACATATGGGTTCACTTTGAAACCCTGAAACCCACATTTACAAAAACATTTTCAATATGAAACATTGTTCCATGACTCATTACTGGAGTACCATCAACATTTACATTTCCAGACCACCCACTGCCCAGTGGTTTTCTTGGTCTCAGTACTCATGAAAACGGTCTGAAGGTTTGTTTTGGGTTCCTAAGTAGTAGACACACGCACAACACTGCCTGTCAGTTATTTCTTGGAAACTAAATCAGCCCTTCTGTTGCCATCCTATCATGCTTCAGGGGTGCCTGTGCTAGTTTTTAATTCTTTGTCCTAACACTTAAATGTTTGCTCAAACGCCCATATTAATACTTCCTCTTAGTTTACAAAAGGATTTACTTTCTTACTGGTTGGGATGAAGCTGCCTGAGGTTGCCACCTGTTATTTTTCCTTCATTTATTGGACCATGTCATCCCATTACATGTTAGCCGTGGAGGTTTTCAAACTGTGTTCCCTGGACATGTTAGAAATGCAAATTCTCAGACCGAACCAGGACTGAATCGGAAGATCTGGGGTAGGGTCCCTCCAGGACTGAAAACGGAAGGTCTGGGGTGGGGTACCCCAGGACTGAATCGGAAGGTCTGGGGTGGGGTCCCCCCAGGACTGAATCGGAAGGTCTGGACGAGGGTCCCCCCAGGACTGAATCAGAAGATCTGGGGTAGGGTCTCCCCAGGACTGAATCGGAAGGTCTGGGGTGGGGTCCCCCCAGGACTGAATTGGAAGGTCTGGACTAGGGCCCCCCCAGGACCGAATCGGAAGGTCTGGACTAGGGTCCCCCCAGGACTGAATTGGAAGGTCTGGGGTAGCGTCCCTCCAGCTGATCCTGTTACACAGGTTAGAGAACCATGGCATTAGGGGTAGCAATTTGACAATTCTTTTTTTTTTTTTTTGAGACAGAGTCTCACTCTTGTTGCCCAGGCTGGAGTGCAGTGGCGCACTCTCGGCTCACTGCAACCTCCGTCTCCCAGGTTCAAGCAACTCTCCTGCCTCAGCCTCCTGAGTAGCTGGGATTACAGGCACCCATCATCATGCCTGGCTAATTTTTTGTATTTTTAGAGATGGGGTTTCACTATGTTGGCCAGGCTGGGACAATTCTTAAACTGTCATTCTTTACTCACTTACTTGCAGGAATTCTTATGTAAAGAACTTTCCCTAATCAACAAGGTTTCCCTGAATTGCAATTTGTAGAGAAAAGACAGGATAATTACTGATCTTCCTTCAAGTGTCCATTCCCAGTGTTAGGAGTTAGTGCCCTAGGTACCTCCAAGAGTGACCAATTACATGTGTTTGTTTGGTTTTGGCTTTGAAACCACCACTATGAATTCATGGTTTTCATGTATTAGAGACCACTTTCTAGGTGCTTGATGTGTCTACTGCTACTGGGGCAGAGGTAGAAAATGTGTCTACGGTAAAAGAACAACAAATGAGTTCACGCTTATATTTCTATTTCAAATTTAGTATACGGTTTTACACCTTTTTCTCAGAAAAATCTTGTTTTATTTTTTGAGATAGAGTTTTGTTCCTGTTGCCCAGGCTGGAGTGCAGTGGCACAATCTCGGCTCACTGCAATCTCTGCCTCCTGTTTCAAGCGATTCTCCTGCTTCAGCCTCCCCAATAGCTGGGATTACAGGCACCTGCCACCATGCCCAGCTAATTTTTCAATTTTAGTAGAGATGGCGTTTCACCATGTTGGCCAGGCTGGTCTCAAACTCCTGACCTCAGGTCATCTGCCCACCTCGGCCTCCCAAAGTGCTGGGACTTGGGAGGATTTTCCCTTGCCAGAAAAATCTTAGTTTTAGCATTAACATAATTAGTTATTTGCTTTAACTCCCACCCCACATAATTTCAAAGGATTAATACCTATAAGACGAGTAACGGAGATGATTGATTGAAATTTAGGATTCAGTGGCTCTATTTGTCTTTAGACTATGGCTCACTAAATCTGCACACTTGAAGTGCTGTGTTCTAGCGATCCTCTGATGACACATGAAGTAATAGGCTGCGTGACTGTCACCAGCCTGATGTGCAGTTGGGCTGCAGAACCCCGTGATGCTGCCTAGCCCAGCCAGCCCCAGGTCACTCCTCAGACTCAAACTCGATTCTGACACCACCAGCACCCGGGACGCTGCCTAGGGGCTTTCTCTGGTGGCAGCAGCATGTCCTGGAGCAGGCCAGGGGTGCCCGGAATTGACCATCCTGAACCTGTGCAGCGTGGGCTGGTGAAGGAACGCACCAGCTCCCACAGTGAACACGGGCCCAGCTGTCCACATGAGACCCGGCTCCCGGACGCCCCATGCTGCCGCCTCTTTCCTGTCTCACCTCCCACTTCCCTTCAGCTGCTGCTCAGGGCCACCTTCCAAATTTTTGTCTCAGGGTTGGCGCCTGTAGAATGCAATCCAAGGAATTTAGATTCATTCATTTCAGATACCATTCTTTCAATTTTAGGGACTATCTTAAAAACTTAGTTTGGTAATATGTAAAACACTTACAATTTCAAAGTCCAGATATTACTTCAGAGTCTATTTCGGTCTCACTTCCACCACTGACCCCTGTCCTCCACAGCAACCACTTTAGATTTTTATCTTTGTACTGTTTTAAGAAAAAGCAAATATATATTTGCATTATATTATATGTACTCTGCCCCTTATCAATAGGCGTTCCTCATTCCTCCTTCTGGTACGGAGTTCCCCACTGCACGAATTAATGTTCCTAATCCCTTACTGATGGACATTTTGATTGTTTCCAGTTTTACAAATGCCACAGTGAAGAACTTTGTGGCAAACACATTCAGGCTGTGAAAAGAACTCTGTGGATAAAGTCCTTTCATTTCTTTGCCAGAGTTTTTTTTGAGGCAGATTCTAGAATTGCTGAGTCTAAGGGCAAATGCCATGTCGTTTTGTTAGATGCTGCCAAATCCTCTTCCATGAGGCTGCAACGTTCTGCATTCCACAGTGACGTATGAGAGTCCTTGTACCCCACAGCTTCATAAACAAAGCATGACAGCAAACCTGCACGTTTACCCATCACACAGTTGAGAAATTTTATCTACTTTCACCTTTTTTTTTGGTTAGCATTTTTATTCCCAGCTTTTTTGTGGTATAATGCGCAGAAGGTAATGAACACATTCTACCTGCAAGCTTCTTCCTGTGCCTTTGGAATCTGCTCCTGCCAGTCTGCAGGGAACCACGGATCTGCTTTCCGTCACGTAGGAGGCATTCTCGACACCCTCTGTACACAGCATGCGCTTTATTTGGCTTCTCTTACGCAGCGTAGTGACTTTCAGATTTATTCAAGCTGCTGCGTGCGCCAACAGTCCACTCCTTCCTAGTGCTGAGGCCCCCATCACATGAGCACAACTGTTTCTTGTGTGTGATGTGTTGTCCTCTGGCTGTGCACTGCCAAAAAAGACATCATTAAAAAAAATTTAAATATAATGTAAGACCTGCCTTGTCTTAGGAAACGTTTTTCTGGCAGTGGCTCACACCTATAATCCCAATACTCTGGGAGGCTGAGGCAGGAGGACTGCTTGAGCCCAGGAGTTTGGGACCAGCCTGGGCAAGAGGGTGAAACCCTGTCTCTAAAAATTAGCCAGGCATGGTGGCTCACACCTGTAGTCTCAGCTCTTAGGGAGGCTGAGGTGGGAGGACTGCTGGAGCCCAGGAGGTGGAGGCTGCAGTGAGCCGAGATCACACCACTGCACTCCAGCCTGGGCAGCATGGCAAGACTCTGTCTCGACCAAGAAAAAAACAAAAAATTAACAGAAGGAAAAACAAAACGGCTTTCTTATCAAAAATACACTTTAAGAACAAATTTATAATATTAAGTTGCTGCAAAAGTAATTGTGCCTTTTACCATTGAAAGCAATGGCAAATACTGCAATTACTTTTGCTCCAACCTAATATTATTTTCTAATGACAAACTTGGAAATAACTGTCATTGCTCTCTAAAAAGAACAGCCTAAAAATAAAGCAGCAGCCCATTTACTTCTATGCCAGTTCTTTTAGCATTTGGTTATTTAAACCGGCAGTCCCTAACCTTTTTGGCACCAGGGACTGGTTTCACGGAAGACACTTTTTCCACTGACAAGTGTGGGGATGGTTTGGAGATGAAACGGTTCCATCTCAGATCATCAGTATTAGATTCTCATAAGCGGGGCATAACCTAGATCCTTCTCATGCGCAGTTCACAACAGGATTCCACTCCTATGAGAATCTAATGCCACCACTGATCTGACAGGAGGCGGAGCTCACACAGCAATGATATGACAGGGGCGGAGCTCACAATAATGATATGACAGGGGGCGGAGCTCACACAGTAATGATATGACAGGGGGCGGAGCTCACACAGTAATGACAGGGGGCGGAGCTCACACAGTAATGATGACAGCGGGCGGAGCTCACACAGTAATGCTCTGGCAGGGGGCGGAGCTCACACAGTAATGCTCTGGCAGGGGGCGGAGCTCACACAGTAATGATGACAGGGGGCGGAGCTCACACAGTAATGATGACAGGGGGCAGAGCTCACAGTAATGCTCTGGCAGGGGGCGGAGCTCACACAGTAATGCTCTGGCAGGGGGCGGAGCTCACACAGTAATGCTGACGGGGGTGGAGCTCACACAGTAATGCTGACAGGGGGTGGAGCTCACACAGTAATACTCTGGCAGGGGGCGGAGCTCACACAGCAATGCTCTGACAGGGGGCAGAGCTCACACAGTAATGCTCTGGCAGGGGGCGGAGCTCACACAGTAATGCCGACGGGGGTGGAGCTCACACAGTAATGCTGACAGGGGGTGGAGCTCACACAGTAATACTCTGGCAGGGGGCGGAGCTCACACAGCAATGCTCTGACGGGGCAGAGCTCACACAGTAATACTCTGGCAGGGGGCGGAGCTCACACAGTAATGCTCTGACAGGGGGCGGAGCTCACACAGTAATCTCTGGCAGGGGGCGGAGCTCACACAGTAATGCTCTGCCAGGGGGCGGAGCTCACACAGTAATGCTCTGCCAGGGGGCGGAGCTCACACAGTAATCTCTGGCAGGGGGCGGAGCTCACACAGTAATGCTCTGACAGGGGGCGGAGCTCACACAGTAATGCTCTGGCAGGGGGCGGAGCTCACACAGTAATGCTCTGGCAGGGGGTGGAGCTCACACAGTAATGCTCTGGCAGGGGGCGGAGCTCACACAGTAATGCTCACTGGCTGGCTGCTCACCTCCTACTGTGTGGCCTGGTTCCTAACAGGCCATGGACTGGAACAATCTGTGGCCTGGGGATTGGGGACCCCTGATTTAAAGAATCGAGGACACACTCACCTAGCAAACCATCTGCTAAGAAAAAAGGAGGAAAAGCACCAACATTAATTTGAACTTAGAAATAAACTACAAGGCCAGACATGGTGGTTCACACCTATAATTCCAGCACTTCGGGAGGCCAAGGAGGAACGATCACTTAAGCCCAGCAGTTTGAGACCAGCCTAGGCAACAAAGTGAGACCCTGTCCCTACAATTACAAAATAAATGAGCTGGGCGTGGTGGTGCACACCTGTAGCCCCAGCTACTTAGAAGGCTGAGTCGGGAAGATCACCTGAGCTGCCCAGGAGTTTGAGGCTGCAGTGAGCTGAGACTGCACCAACCCTGTCTCAAAAAAAAAAAAAAAAAAAAGAAACTGCAACAAAATATCTGGATTTTGATGTAACAGAATACAAAG
Organism: Homo sapiens; assembly: GCF_000001405.40. Lineage (NCBI taxonomy): Eukaryota > Metazoa > Chordata > Mammalia > Primates > Hominidae > Homo > Homo sapiens. The sequence continues at coordinate 109,820 of NT_187678.1, forward strand.
ATAATTACATTTGATTTTTAGGTCAACAAATATGACAAGTCATAACAGGAAAATATTTTAAATGGATTTGGAAATAAAAGAAAGTTTGTTCATTTATATTTTATTTAACAGCTGTGCCCAGTTTTATCTTGTCACAAGAATGAAGCAAGGGACAAAGGTAAGTGCCACGCTCCCCGGCCACTGGGTGCCAATCCCCCTTCAATGTACTCCTTCTTCCCCAGAGTGCAGAAGCGTATAAAGACAGTTATGACATTGACACATGCATGAGCTATTATACATAATTACAAAAGCTGATTCTGTCATCACCACATCTTGTCTCATCAGTAGGAGTGAATGGCTGGGGGGACAGTGGCACAGTCAGCCTCGTTCAAAGTTTTGTCAATTATGGGTCTATATTCCACAGTGACCTTGAAAAGAAGTCAGTGGTAAGTTAAGCACAAAAATGTACAAAAAGCCATCTCTTGTGTTCCTTTTGAAAAATTTTAACTATAAAAGTAGATTTACGGCATGTGAACTTTAAGGTATTTGCTGCAGTATTTTCCAATAACAAATTCAAAAATGATCTACATGCGCAACAGGGGACTGTAAATGACGGCAGATCGGTAGAGTGGAACAGAGCAACGAAAATGACACTGTACCAGATTCTCAGTGCTTTGCTTTACAAAAATGCTCCCATCATGAAAAGTGGGAGAACCCTTGTCTATACCAAGACACTTCATGTTTAAACTATCTACTTCCAGTTTTTCTACTTCAAAGTAAATATTTATATAGGTAGAACATCCCTAATCCAAACATCTGAAATTCTCCCAAATCTGAAACTTTCTGAGCACCAGCATGACATTCAAAAGAAATGTGCTATGGAGTCAGATCTTCCGATTAAGGATGCTCAGACAGTAAGTGTAATGCAAATATTCCAAAGTCTGAACAAGCCTGAAATCCAAAACACTTCTGGTCCCAAGGATTTCAGAGAAGGAATACTCAAGCCGTGTATTAAATATGCACACACAGGAAAAGGTAGGCACATATACAAAGAAATTTAAACCATAATGGGTCATCTCTGGTTAGTGAGCTCTTATTTCAATCTCTTTGTACTTTCTAAAATGAGTATGTATTTCTTCAAAAATCACTGAAACTGGCTGGGCGTGTTGGTTCATGCCTGTTGGGGAGGCCAAGACAGGTGGATCACTTGAGCTCAGGAGCTCAAGACTAGCCTGGGCAACGTGGCAAAACCCCGTCTCTACAAAACATACAAAAATTAGCCAGGCATGGTGGCATGTGCCCGGGAGGCTGAGGTGGGAGGATCACCTGAGCCGAGGGGAGGTTGAGGCTGCAGTGAGATGAGATCGAGCCACCACATTTCAGCCTGGGCAAAAGAGATGAGACTCTATCTCAGAACAACAAAAACAAAACAAAAAACCTGAACCCGGAAACATTAAAAATAGACTTGTGCTAAGCGAGTGAAGTGTGACCTCTCTATACTATCAGGAAATGGCCTTCATGATAAATTCTGAAAATGACCCACTGCCTGAATCACAGACACACTAGATGATAGTGAGAGTCCAAAGGTAACTTCCACAGACACAGCTAAGTGATTATACGACTCTCCCTTACAAGTTATGAAAAGCTTAAGGGTAAAAGCTTTCTATCTTCATGATTTCTGAATCTCAATGCCCAGTGGAAATGCCACACAGGTGAACTGTGCTTGTGTGGAACAAGCTGCAACCCCCTACCACACCCTCGGCTGGCTGTTCCCAAGACGCTGTGCTTGTGTGGAACAAGCTGCAACCCCCCTACCACACCCTCGGCTGGCTGTTCCCAGGACGCTGCTTACCCCAACCCTGCCTCCATTTCTGCCCTTCTCTGCTTGCTCAGTGCCCAGGGGATGCTAAGGGCTGCACCACATCCCCTCTGCTCCCCTGCAGATGCTTCCAGTTGGCCCAGCCCATGGGAAGAGAGGGGAGGGGTCTCTTCTGGGCTCCCTTGGCTCGGGACTGGTTTCTGGTAGTGGCTCTGTCCCCACCACACAGATGCTGACTTTCTCGCTAGGTCCACAATCATCATCTCCTCCCCTGCCACCAGGCCTTGGACACTTGCTCCTGCCCAGTGACTTCCATCTGGCCCACACCACAGAGCAACCCTTCCTTAAGGCTCCTCTGAACCACCTGCAGGCACTGGATTCTGTTTCCAGCCCGAAGCCCGACTGCTGTCAGAGTGCCTTTTTCAGCGGTGCCTCAAATCTGTCGGGAGTTGATTTAAATCTGGCCTGCTCCTCCGCGTTCACCATCAGCAAGGCCAGCCCGCAGACCTGGGCGGGGCCGTGTGGGTGCTGGGCTGTGGTGAGAACGAGCTCCACACTGACCTTCCCAGTGCCGACGTCCACATAGGACAGGGTGTGCTTCCTCCAGTGCACCTCAAAGGGCTTCTTCTGTTGCCCCTGGATGGGCTTGGAGTGATCATACTCATCAATCTGCACCTGAGGCCAGAAACACCATCACATTTCTCATTACTCTAACAGAGCAATACAGAAAAAACACAGCAAACATTAAAATGATCTAAGAGACAGATGCCCTAGAACCCATTCCATTTCCACTTCAGCCCAGGAGGTTGGCACCATCAACACGTTCAGAACCCACAGAGGCCACATGGCTGGCCAGCGATGTGCAGCCAGCAGTGAGTCCAGAGTAATCCATGTCCGCATGTTCCCTTAGACATCCTTTATGTACCTAAGAGTTTATCAAATACTTTGTCTTTTTGCTCCAAGCGCTGGGAGACTACCTCCATCTTTTCTTTCAGCCTGTTTTTATTAAAAACACTTTTTTTCTCTTTTGAGACAGGGTCTCGCTATGTCACCTGGGCTGGAGCGCAATGGTGTGATCACAGCTCGCCAGAGCCTTGACTTCCCGGGCTCAATCAATCATCCTGCCTCAGCCTCCTGAGCAGCTGGTACCTCAGGTGTGTACCACCACGCCTGGCTAATTTTTTAATTTTTGTAGAGACAGGTTTCGCCATGTTGCCCAGGCTGGTCTAGAACTCCGGGGCTCAAGTGATCTGCCTGCCTCAGCCTCCCAAATGCTGGGATTACAGGTGGGAGCCACTGCACCTGGCTTCTATTCTAATTAAAACTCGTTGTCACCAACTAAATTTATGCTCCTGGCCAGGCACAGTGGCTCATGCCTGTAATCCTAGCACTTTGGAAGGCCAAGGTGGGTGGTTCACTTGAGGTCGGGAGTTCGAGACTAGCCTGGCCAACATGGTGAAACCCCGTCTTTACTGAAAATACAAAATTAGCCGGGCACGGTGGCATGCGCCTGTAACCCCAGCTGCTTGGGAGGCTGAGGCAGGAGAATCACTTGAACCTGGGAGGCAGAGGTTGCAGTGAGCTGAGATCGCGCCGCTGCACTCCAGCCTGGGGGACAATGAGACTCCATCTCAAAAAATTAAAAATAATAAATTTATTATTATTCTGTATTCTGGCAAACACGGATTCATATACTTTGCAGGAAAGACTCTTAATATGTATGAGGAGACGAGCAAATTCTGAGCAGTGATCACAGCCATCAGCATATTCTAGTGGAGGGTAAATCAGTAAAATTTCATGGTGAATAAAAATGATTTTCCCATTCACTGTGTTCAGCTGACTGGAAAGGCTGCCACCAGCCGCCCACACATGGCCCTGAACCAGCCTGTGCGCCTGCCTTGTGGAGCCTTTGTCCTTTTGCCGATGTGGTTTATCCTGAACTTGCATTTGCACCCCAAGCTTCCCTTTCCGTCGTTTTTTGCTATCATATGTGAAAAACTCTTACCAGGCAGAATCCAACACGTGTGCTCTGCACAAAAATCAGTTCATCTGAAGAACAAGTGACCACAGGGCAGTCTCCGTAATCAAACCACAGGACAGGCTCTATAATACCTTTTCCAAACCACAGGACAGGTTGGAAACAGTGGCTTACTCGTTATTTAGTAAACTGGCATTTCCTCCACAAGGCAGGTCTGAAACGGTGACTTACTTGTTATTTAATAAACTGGCATTTCCTCCACAGGGCAGGCTTGAAACGGTGGCTTACTCGTTATTTAATAAACTGGCATTTCCTCCACAGGGCAGGCTTGAAACGGTGGCTTACTCGTTATTTAATAAACTGGCATTTCCTCCACAGGGCAGGCTTGAAACGGTGGCTTACTCGTTATTTAATAAACTGGCATTTCCTCCATAGGGCAGGCTTGAAACGGTGGCTTACTCGTTATTTAATAAACTGGCATTTATTTCCTGGTCATGCCACGCTGGCTGCACTTCTAACCTTGGCCTTCTAACAGCAAAGCACATTGGCTTGGAGATGCCACTGCTGGCATCAGTGGATGCCGACCCAAAGCAAGGAACAGGTCACAGTGATCCAGAAAATGGCGAGAACCCAGGGATCAAAGTTACCAGAGGGAAAAAGGCATTTTTTGGATATACTTTTGGGGAAACGACATAAAATGCAGAGAAAATGCAGGGGTGGGGCTGAGTCCCACCAGGCGGGAGGAAAAGGCAGGTGCAGGTGGGCGTGGCGAGAAGGCGCACCTTGTAGTCTTCCCCGGCGTGCGCGCCCCGTGACTCCTTCCCCGCCTCTGCTCCATTGACGGTCTGCAGCGCACATAGCATCAGGTTCTGCAGCTCCAGGGTCTCCACCAGGTCCGTGTTCCAGACCATTCCTGGGGACACAAAAAGTTCCATCAGGGGCAGGTGGGACCCAGTCACACGGGCCCTCCGAGCTGTCAGCCTGGGCCTGCTAGTCCATGGAGTCACTGGTTGTGGCTTTACAGCTGGGGGCCAGCACCCATCCAGACAGCAAGCATGGAACTAAGTCAGCACTGACGGGACAGACACCAGCCCACCCTGCAGAAGGCAGGGCCCAACAGTGTGCACAGAGCCCACTGTCTGCTCACCCCGGTCAAACGTCTTCAGATGCTTCAGGTCTCCATAGAGCTTGCTGATTTTCCCACAACCTTCTTGCAACAAGCTTCCCACACGGAACACGGCAGCATGATTTTGCGTTGACTGTGGCACAAAATATTATTTGTAAACTTTTAATTCATAGAAGCAGCCATACCAAGAACTGCTTAACTTTTAGACCTGTTGTTTTGCATTTCATTTTATTTATGTAAATTAAACAGAAAAATTAGGAAATTTAGACTATGAGTTTATTACTCTGAACTTAAAAATGAAGTCTTGACTAAAGCTTCTGAATAAATGTTTCTATTATATACATATCTTAGACCCACACACATCCTTTCCAGCGGGATACAGCCAGGGTCCAGGACGCCAAGCAGACTGCCTGTGAGGCACCACGTTCCATACGGCTCCACGGCCAACCAGGCAGCACTGCCTCCCCACACCCCTGGCGGGACTCCTGATGTGGGGTCTGGTGGTGAACGTGACACGAGCCAGCAGCCCTGTGGTGATACACACAAGGAGGAACTGAGCAGAGCCCTGCTGATGGTGGGGTTGGAACCGAAGGTCTTCAAGGAGAGGGAGGGGCGTGGGTGGCTGGGGCCCTTGGCCCATCTGGCTACTGTCTTCTGCCTATTTTGTAGAAGCTCCTTGTACACTGAGTTCCTTCATAGTTTTACTATCACGAGAAACGTGCTAGGAGTGGACCTGAAGTTTACTTAGGTATGCTGGGAACTGGGCATCAGCTTTTGCTTCCTGTGGGACACACAGGCACCACCTCCGTGATCCCTCCTCCTCCTTGCTTCTCCCTCTAACTGTGCTTTGCTCCACTGACCCTAATTGTCTCTTCCTCTACCAATGCACCTTCGTGGTTCAATTTGGACATTTCATCTGATTTTCCTTAGACTCATACATAATCGTAACACTGTAATGCACATCAACCTAATGGTTTTTCAGGAAGAACAAATGAAAAAAATTGCATCTCAGAATCTAGTATTACATTCTTTCATGTCCTTTAGCAGCGACGTTTTCATATCATCTTTTCGTATTTCTGGTTACATTATTTCAAGGCATTTTAAATTTTTTGTTTGAAATGCGAATGAGATATTTACTGATGTCTGAGCAGATTACTGCTGGCACATTGCAAAGCTACTGATTTTTACATACAAATCTCTTATACACATACCTTACTACATTCTTGTTTTGTTTCTGTTAGTTTTTCCGTTTATTCTCTGGAAATTTTTTGGAAATTATATCTGTAAATAATGGCAACTGTATCTATTCCTTTTCAATATTTACTGCCAAGACCAGCTGGGTCATGGAAACCCTAACCCAGTGGCACTAGAGGAAGTAAAGACACACACACAGAAATATAGAGTGTGGAGTGGGAAATCAGGGGTCTCACAGCCTTCAGAGCCAAAAGCCTCAAACAGAGATTTACCCACGTATTTATTGACAGCAAGCCAGTGATAAGACTTACTGAAAGTATTCCTTACAGGAAATAAAGGGATGGGTCTGGCTAGTTATCTGCAGCAGGAGCATGTCCTTAAGGCACAGAGCGCTCATGCTATTGTTTGTGGTTTAAGAAGGTCTTAAGAGGTTTTCCACTCTGGGTGGGCCAGGTGTTCCTTGCCCTCATTACGGTAAACCCATAACCTTCCTGCGTGGTCGTCCTGGCCATCACGAGCACGTCACATGCTGCAGAGATTTTGTTTATGGCCAGTTTTGGGGCCAGTTTATGGCCACATTTGGGGGCCTGTTTCTATCAATTTACCTCATTTCTTTTTTTGATTGTTACTATTAATAGCCAGAGTCAGCAGAAAAATCCCTTCCCCCAACGAAATGCATTTCCGCAAGCATAGGAAGCTCTGTTTGTTCAGTGCTGACTCCGGCACCTCACGGAGCCTGGGATACAGCAGGCACCAAGACACACCTTGTTTGGTGGGAACACTTCTAGTATTCTCACTTCAAACTATCTCAGATTTGCCATTTCTATATCCTAAGGCATGTTCCCATTCTCTAACGCAAGGGTTCCTTCTTTCCCAGCTGGCCTCCAACCCTACAAAAGCACTGCAGGGCATCACTCAGCCTTCTGTGCCTTAGTCACGCTGTTCTTCTCACCGTTCCACAAAACCTCCCTCAAGCCCAGCCTCACCTGAAGACCGAAGGGCACGGGCCTCTGAAAATTGTCAGCAGGGAACCTGTTCTCTTGTGTCTAACACCAAATGCCTTTCAGAATAGGACTAAAGCAGTGGACTTCTTTCTAGAAAATACGCAGAAATTCTTGCAAATAGCAGACAAGAGATCTCATTCATGGACAAGAATCCTTGTTATTAGAGGAATTGAGTTTCTTAGACTGACTATATATCAGGTTCTCCACGGCCCCATGGCTAATGGCTGCCATACTGGACGGCAAACACTCAACATTTCCATCATCACAGACGGTCCTACTGGACCGACTCCCAGCAGCACAGGCCGCACAGATCACTGTCCACCTGCCGCCCACTCTCCCTCTCTGCTGAGTATATTTAGGGGCAGCAACAGGTCTAGCTTAAAGACGTTTCCGAGCTGCTGGAAGCCAGGCATGATGACATGATCAATATCTGGGCCTGAGATGTAAGCACCAGTGTTGTGTTGAACTCCAGGAAACCTCTAAGAGAAAGCTGCCCTGCTGGGGACGGAGCTTCTCCGGCAGTCCTGCGGCTCCCTCTCCTCCACACTGTGACTCATCCATGACAGCCAGCGACGGTCAGGGCACGGAGGTCATGCCCAAGCACACACGAGTGAACCACAGAAGGCTGTCCTGGATGCTAAGCAGTCACTAATTCTGCCCTGGCCTGCTGACCTTCTATGTGGAGAAGAAGTGCACTTCTGGTCTCTTTCATATTCTTGATACAGTGAGGAGTATGTCCTACTGCTGTTTACCTCCACATACTGGTGCAGCCTCGTATGTTTATTGCAGCACTAGTCACAATAGCAAAGTCATGGAATCAACCTAAGTGCCCATCAACGGACGACCGGATAAAGAAAATGTGGTACATATATACCATGAAATACTACTTGGCCATAAAAAAAGAATGCAATCATGTCTTCTGCAGCCAGACGGATGGAATGGGAGGTCACTATCCTAAGTGAGTCAGAAGGTCAAGTGTCACACATTCTCCCTTGGAAGTGGGAGCTGAACGGTGAGTACACATGGACACACGGAGTGGACTAACAGACTGTGGGCTCCAAAAAGCGGGAGGGGTGGGGATGAGCAATTACCTGCTGAGTACAACACACACGACTTGGGTGACAGGTACATGAAAAGCCCAGACTCCACCACCTCCCAGTACATCCACACAAAGCTGCACCTGCATCCCCCTAGATCTGTTTTTAAAAAAACAAAACCAGTGCAGGGCCAGGTATGCAGCCAGCCTGCTCACTCCAGAGCGAGTCCAGGCTCTTACCTTCTGCATGCTGAGTCGCAGTTCCGATGTTCTTATGCTTCTTCCATCAGCAAATCTCAATTTGTCAAGATTCGTGACAGATTCTTCCCCAGCATTTGGTTTAATTGGAGGGACTTTATCTCCTAAAACAACAACAAAAAGAGCTAGAATTTAACTTTTGAAAACCGTTTTAAAAAAACAAATGGATTTAGTACTACACACAAAAATGTAGCATAGCCGCTCAAGGAGCCTGGAAACGGTGTAAGTCTCCTGAGCTAACACACTGCCAACCCACCCTACATCTGAGGCCATCTGTTGAGTTGGGGCCAATTTTAAAGAACAGACATAAAAGGCAAAACTGTTGGCACACAGTAGATATCCATTAAGTGATCTTAGAGTGAATAAACTAGAAATCATCTCTAAAATTAAAAAATTAAAATGTAGGCCAGGTGCAGTGGCTCACGCCTGTAATCCCAGCACTTTAGGAGGCTGAGGTAGGTGAAGCACTTGAGGTCAGGAGTTCAAGAGCAGCCTGGCCAACGTGGCAAAACCTCATTTCTACTAAAAACACAAAAATTATCTGGCATGAGAACTGCTTTAACCCGAAAGGTGGAGGTTGCAGTGAGCCGAGATCGCGCCACTGCACTCCAGCCTGGGCAACAGAGCGAGACCCTGTCTTACAAAAAAAAAAAATTAAATGTATACAGATTTATATACATTAAGTGTATATAAATGTCACTCCACTAACGGGAAAAAATGACACCTTCCAGATGGTGGTCCCAAGGGGCCGGCCGCCCCACTGTCCTTCACATTAGGGGGAGGAAGGTGGCTGCTGTGTGCTTGCAAGTCACCTGCTGATTTGGACTGTTGTGTGCTCTCACCTATACTTCAAGATTTGCAATTTTTTTTTTTTTTTTTTGAGATGGAATTTTGCTCTGTAGCCCAGGCTGGAGTGCAGTGGCACCATCTCGGCTCACTGCAACCTCCACCTCCTGGTTCAAGCAATCCTCCTGCCTCAGACTCTGGAGTAGATGGGACTACAGGAGTTTGCAACCATACCTGGCTAATTTTTGTATTTTCAGTAGAGATGGGGTTTCACCATGTTGGCCAGGCTGGTCTCGAACTCCTGACCTCAGGTGAGCCACCTGCCTCAGCCTCCCAAAGTGCTGGGATCACATGTGTGAGCTGCTGCGCACGGCCAAGATTTGCAACTCTTGTGTTTCCAAGATGTCTTGAAAAAAGTTTTAAAGGTTTTTTTTTTTTATAAAATTATATGTATTTTTTCTTCAATAGGTAACACATGCAGGAGATAGGAGGTATGAAATGCAGGAGTCAAACAGGCCCTGTCCCGCCTACCGCCTCTCCTCGGGACCAGGCTGTGGGTCTCTTGACGGTCTGCTCAAATGCTTCTAGGCTTGCTGGTGTCTCTTTTCCTTTTGTTTATAACGCTTTAAAAATTGATCATCCATTAAAATTGACTTTTTTCTTTCGGTGGACAGTTCTACAGTTTCTTTTTTCTTTTTTTTTTTTGAGACAGTGTCTCCTCCCTCTGTTGCCCAGGCTGGAGTGCAGTGGTGTGATCTCGGCTCACAGCAACCTCCGCCTTCTAGGCTCCAACAATCCTCCCACCTCAGCCTCCCAAGTAGCTGGGACTACCCAAGTGTGAGCCACCATGCCCAGCTAATTTTTGTATTTCTGGTAGAGACGGGGTTTCACCACCTTGCCCAAGCTGGTCTCGAACTCCTGAGCTCAAGCAATCGGCCTGCCTTGGCCTCCCAAAGTGGTGGGATTATAGGTGTGAGCCACTGCACCCGGCCTCAGTTCTACCGATTTTAACACATGGATAGATGCATGTAACCACTTTGGGAGGCTGAGACAGGAGGATCACTTGAGGTCAGGAGTTCAAGACCACCCTGGGCAACACAGGGAGACCCTGTCCCTAGAATACATTTTTAAAAATTAGCCAGATGTGGTGGCGTGCACCTGATCGTACCACTGCACTCAAGCCTGGGTGACAGAGGGAGACTATGTCTAAAAATACACATATATATATTTTTGGGGGGGTCGGGGGTTGGGGGAGAAGTAGGGATGCTACAAGCATTTTTTCTTTCCTTTTCATTTTTAAAAATTAAAGCGTAAAGATACAGTAAAATAAACTCATCATTTTTAATGTAGGTTTTTCAAACTTTGACACACACAGAGCTGTGTCTGTAAGCCTCAGCACAATCAGGAAACAGCCTCTGGCAACCACCAATCCCTTTTCTTCCCTAGATGTGCCTTGTCCAGAATGTCCTATCAACAGGACCACAGGCGTGCAGCCTTTTGAGTCCGACTCCACAGCATTCTGCGTGAGATGCTGCATGTGTGAGCGGTTTCTCAGATGTCAAGTATAGGGTATTCTCACAAAATGTTCTTTTCTGCATTTTCAAAGAAAGAGAAGCTCAAAATTTCTACACTGCTCTGAGAGAAGTGGTATCAGACCTCACTGCGACAAAGTGCAGGGCTATGGAGTGAGACAAGCACAACCTGTGGCGTCAGGAGCGAGGCACCTGAACTCCGCCTTCGCCGATGATCAGCAACGGCTGGGGATGAGACGCCGGCTCTGCATGTGCTGGCCTCCTGAGCTGTCGTCAGATCCACAGAGACACAGTGTCTGAAGTAGCTACCCTTTTAATACTGCCTGTACCTTTCTAACTACAGATAGAAAAGGGTCATGTTTATAAGGTACGGCGGTGCTAGTTTTTATTTCACTTGAGTCCATACAAAAAGCAAAAAGCGCCTGTTCTATAAAAACAGCAGAAATGATGCTAAACAGTTAACACCAGAGAAAGCTAACGGGAAGAACGTGGGCCTGGGGTCCCACCATCCTTGCCACGCAAACATCCACCAGTGCCTCATCCACCTCACACTGTTCTGAGCACACGAGGCTGCATGACCACCGTGAGGATCTCTGGAGGTGGGAACGATGCTAACTGTCCTGTTCTTCGTGCACATAAGACTCACACTCCCACACACGGTATTCCTTTTCCTGCACATTATTTGACGCTATCCTGAAAAGAAAACCAGCAAGTGAAATCGAATCTGTCCGTAGAGGGTGGGAATCCTGTTCACTCTAAGTCAGCCCTTCTCCTCTAATAGAGGTTAGTTGTACTTTTAGAATGGCCTAAATTATTTTTCTAAGTACCAAGAAGTTACATATTCATTCATGCCAACTATTTTAAATATTTCATTGCAAATAAGTGATTTTTATCAGGCAAGTAATACGTAATGAACTTCCCCTAAAAATAACAGCTTCCTAATAGTGCTTTTTCTAAACAGAAAATAATGACTGCAAAATAATTTAAAAAAAAAAAATGTAACCCCAAAAATGTCACCTTAACTGTTAAGATCCCCAACCAGCCTCTATCTAGTCTCAACATTACCACCATATAATCTCTGGATTTCTCAGTTTAATCACTTCTAGGGGAAAAAACCCAGACTACCTCTATATGCTCACTACGCAAATTTCCAGTAAGAAATCAAGGCTTTGTAACCTGGCTGGGTGCAGTGGCTCATGCCTGTAATCCCAATACTTTGGAAAGCTGAGGCAGAAGACTGTTTGAGTCTAGGAGTTCAAGACCAGCCTGGGCAATATTGTGAGACCCTGTCTCTACCAAAAAAAATTTTTTTAAATTAGCCAGGTGTGGTGGTGCACATCTGTAGTCCCAGCTACTTGGGACTCTGAAGGTTGAGGTGTTGAGGACTGCTTGAGCTCGGGAGGTTGAGGCTGCTATGACTGTGCCACTGCACTCCAGCCTGGGCTGACCCTGTCTCAAAAAAAAAGAAAAAAGACTAACCTCCTGCGCCTTCTCAAATAGTCTGGGTCCTGAAGAAAACACTTACCAGGCCTGCACGACTCTGCGATGCTCAGGGCACATGCCTGACCAGACAACCAGGTCCAACAGCGAGTTTGCCCCGAGGCGGTTGACACCATGTGCAGAGGCACAGGCGGCCTCCCCACAGGCGTACAGGCTGGGCACAATCTGATCCTGGCCATTCCCGTGCCTCAGGACCTGTGGAAAGGAAGATTTCAGGTGAAATGTCAAGATGCCCATTCCTCCACAAGCCCACCTCCCTCAACAGGGTGTCTGTGCTGCAGGTCAGAGAAAGAGAGGGAAGTAGGTCGGGCATGCAGTGGCTCACGCTTGTAATCCCAGCACTTTGGGAGGCTGAGGCGGGTGGATCACCTGAGTTCAGGGGTTCGAGACCTGTCTGGCTAACATGGTGAAACCCCGTCTCAACTAAAAATATAAAAATTAGCCAGGCATGATGGCAGGTGCCTGTAATCCCAGCTACTCGGGAGGCTGAGGCAGAAGAATCGCTTGAACCTGGGAGGCGGAGGTTGCAGTGAGCCGAGATCGCGCCATTGCACTCCAGCCTAAGCGACAGAGCGAGTCTCCATCTCCAAGAAACAAAGAGAGGGAAGTAAAGACCATATCTAAGAAGGAAGTAAGGACCATAGCTACTCTTCTTCAGAAGGAAACTTCCGAATGTATACCCCAGTTTCCCCTCTGCCCCTGAGCACCTGCTGTTACAAGCAGGTCAGAGGGCCTCCAATGTCAGCATCTGCGACTGTCCCCCGTGTCCCATGTTCCCGAGGCCCTCACCACCTGTGCTCCAGCTCAGACCCAGGAGCACGGCAGGTGGAGGAACATCAGCAGGGGAGACTGATGTTCCAGACTCTTCTACCCCCTGTTCACCTCTTCATCTATGCGGGGAAAGTAACAGCTTCCACCCACCTCGCCCAACAAGGAGGCTAAGTGACTGACAAGCTCTGTGTGAACCGCAAACCACTCACAGGTATGAATTATAAAGATCCTTCGATGTACAAGATCATTAGAAATAGGAATTATAAAGATCCCTTGATGTATAAGCTCATTAGAAATAACACAAGATCATATAGGAAAGTAATTATAAAATGGGAAAAGCTGCAAATGATGTATCTATGACAGTTTACTAAGGAGGAATAAATTATTAAGCCTCCTTCCATCCTCCAGTGATAGAAATTTCAAGTGCAATTTAGCAAACAATACAGTACTTTCTGGAAGGAAACATCTGTCTCTTCCTCTAAGATCTAAAGAGACAACTGCGAGATGGGCCCCATTGTCCCAGCCTTCTTTCCAGCTGTGGGAGAGAAGCCAGCACCATCACCTGCCCCTCGTAGCTGGTGGGAATGCCGTCCATGTTATAATGCACGGTGGGGAGGACAGGGATCGGCTCCTTCGTGACGTCCACACCAGCGAAGATCATGGCTGTCTCTGAAATGCCGGGCAAGGGCATGGCCAGCTGCTCTGGAGGTAGGTGGTGCAGCTGCAGGTAGACGTGATCTTTCTCAGGGCCACAGCCTCTGGTAAGACAGAACACCATCACATAAGGCAGAGAATGGCAACGGCAGCAGACCTGAGAATACGTCATCTTGGAAGCGTGTGAGTTTCAACATGTTTTGATACTGAGGAAAATTTCCCCTCATGTACGGCCACCCTCTCATCAAATCTTTTCTAAGCATCTACTGTATGCCAGGGACAATCCCAGGTGCTGGGACACAGCTGAGAACCAGAACAAAAACTCTGCCCTTACTGAACTCACACTCGTCTCAGGGATCACAGCCTGCAGCGGCTGTCCTTGGTAAAAGCATTAGGCCTCTATGCCAAATAGTCGTCCCTGCGTATCCGTGGCAGGTTGGGTCCAGGACCCCCACGGACACCAAAATCCGTGGATGCTCAAGTCCCTAATATAAAATGGCAGAGTATTTGCATATAACCTATGCACATCCTCCTCCATATTTTAAATCATCCTCATTTCAAGTTTTACATTTAAGTTGTACAGCAACTCCAGGATTACTCATAGTACCTAATACAATGTAAATGCTAGGTAAATAGCTGCTACACTGTGTTGCTTAGCGAACAATGACAAGGAAAAAAAAAAGTCTGCGTGTTTGTAAGGATGCAATTTTATTTTCAGTACATAGTTGGTTGAAACCACACATGTGGAACCGATGGATACGGAGGGCCACCATATTACAAGAAACCATCCGACTTCTTTTTTTTTTAATATAAAAATGTAAAACCTCTAAAGGCCACACCAGATACCAGCAGATATTTAGCAAGTGTTATCACATTAAAGAACAGGGTCAGGCAATGAAAGAGCTGCAAACTGTTCTTCTGAAAGGCAAATGACCCACACACTTTGAAAGCTGCCGAAAAACATCTGTGGGTATCAGACACCACACCCAAGGCTCACACGCCGACTTCAGGTTGGGTGCGTGTCTCTCTCTCCCATACTCCGTCACATACTCACACACACTAAGAGAAACTCTGTTCCACAGATTTGAGAAAGAAACTGGCTAAAATTTTCAAAATGTAGGTCTTTAGGAAAATATCGCAGACTAACAGACGCCTGCCGGCAGCTGAGAGAGGTGGCTGTGCACATGTGCCTGCACACGAAGGTGAGGGCGAGCGGTGCTGAAACTCACAGAAGCAACCCCGGCCCGTGTGCCCGCTCAGACAGTGCTGGTGGTAAACCACACGCACCTTCCTTCGCGGATCTCCAGAGTCATCCACCGAGACACCACATCTCTAGACGCCAGGTCCTTCGCGATGGGGGCGTATCGCTCCATAAACCTTTCGCCTTGACTGTTAATGAGAATGCCTCCCTCTCCACGACATCCTTCCGTAATGAGACAACCAGCACCATATGTGCCTGCAAAAAACCACACATTTATAACCTAACAATTGCTAGGTCTCTATTTCAAATGCATTACTTTTTTTTACAAGATATTTTTTGGGGGAGAGACAAAAAAGATATGCAGAAGGCATTATATGCAAAACTGAACAGAAAGAACAGTTAAGATACAGTAGAAAGTCTGGATAACAAAAAGCACTGACAAGGCTGACAGCTGCAGCAGAGGCTGGGGCAGAGTGGCGTCCCCAGAGAGGAGAAAGGCCGGCCCACAGACCTCTGGCCAATACTCTGATTACAGCCCGGTGTACGTTGGATGCCTCAAATTTTGTTTTAATTTTTGAACATTCTTTTGCACTATGATACTGTGGTGACTAGTTAAGAATACTAGCTTGGAGAATTCATATCTAAGTTACCCAAACAGTGGCAAGAACAGTAATAATGATTATTTTAGTTCATCTTTACACTGCACTTGCTATGGGCAGTTCTAGCTGCTTTCCACATATTAAACTCATTTAAGTCTTACAACAACTCTGGGTAGTATGACCCCCTTTCTCAGTGACAAGCAAATTAACGCTTGGTAACATCCAGTCATGCAGCTGAGGACAGAGCTCAAACCCAAACCTGGGCAGTCCGGCGGTCTGTGCCCCAAACAGCGGCTCTGTGACTCCTCAGTGCGATGAGAAACAGGGCGTGCCAAGCTCTCGAATTTTAACAAAGGAGATCAAAAACCCTAAACTAAATGTATTTCAAAAGCTACAATTTTTATTAGTATACAAAAAGGGCAATCTTGCTTTCAAGACAAGAATGTGATTCTTGCATCTCACCTGCCTTTTGATTTTCTAAGTTTCCATGCTCTTTTTTCTGTGGTTACTTCTCACATATTGAAGACAAAGCATGAGAAGTGGAGCTCTAAGCAAATTACAGAGGGAATTCAGGGGCTCACTGACATTTTGCTGATTAAAAACAGTAATAAAAAATACAACAGGCCGGGTGCAGTGGCTCATGGCTATAATGCCAGCACCCTGAGGGGCCGAGGCAGGAGGATCGCCTAAGCCCTGGCGTTTGAGACCAGCCTGGGCTTAAAATGGTGACACCCTGTCTCTACCAAAAACAAAAAAACCCTCAAAAATTAGCTGGGCATGGTAACACATGCCTGTAGTCCCAGCTATTTGGGAGGCTGAGGTGCAAGGATCGTTTGAGCCTGGGAGACAAAGGCTGCAGTGAGTCAAGATTGCTCCACTGCACTCCAGCCTGGGCAACAGAGCAAGACCCCATCTCTAAACAAATTAAAAAAAAAACCTACAACAAATCCATTTCTTATTTTCATCCCTTCCAGGGATCAGAAAGCTGACACTGACAGAGAAAGAGAAGACACAGGTCTGGTTCTTTGGCACCACTTCAGGGGTCTCCATCGTCCACAGGTCAGAAAAGCAACCCAGAAAAGTCCAGGACGAGTCACCTCAAACAAGAGGCAGACGTGTGTGTGTCTGTCTCTGACTCATTTTGAAGAACCTCCTCCAAACTCAAGACTTCAACTGTCATTTCTGAGTTAATGTCTCCAAATTGCACATTCGTAACCTCAACCGTCAGACGTCCCCAAGACGAGCTCATCTTCCCCACGACAAGCTCCCTCAGTGGTCACGTGGGCTGAGCCCAGCGCCCAACGTCACATGGGGTTCTCTCATGGCTGTGTCTTAACTTTACATCCCATTGTCACGGAAGCTCTGTGTTGTCCTACAAAGCTGAAATCTGCCTGTGCTGCTTCTTGGTTCCACGGCATTCACCCAGCTCTCAGAATGCTCACTCAGTAAACCCCGATGGAGACCCTACCATGTGCTGGGCGTGGAGCACCCCAGTTAATGAGAAGACCTGCCTGCCCGAGTTGCTGACAACCTCACTGCAAAGAGGGACACTGAACAATTCCTGCTTTACTTTTTTTTTTTTTTTTTTTGAGACGAAGTCTTACTCTGTTGCCCAGGCTGGAGCGCAGTGGTGCGATCTCGGCTCACTGCAACCTCTGCCTCCCAGGTTCAAGCATTCCTCCCGCCTCAGCCTCCCAAGTAGCTGGGATCACAGGTGCATGCCACCATGCCCAGCTGATTTTTTTATGTTTAGTAGAGATGAGGTTTCACCATGTTGTGCAGGCTGGTCTTGAACTCCTGACCTCAGGTGATCCACCTGCCTTGGCCTCCCAAAGTGCTGGGATTACAGGTGTGAGCCACCATGCCCGGCCTCAATCCCTGCTTTACTGCTGGCATAAGTATCACCAAGGCAGGGTTTAGGGCTCTTGAGAAATGCATAAGATGGTGGCCCAAACTGCCTTAGGGGAAGGGGAGTGTGGGAAAAGTCTCCTTAAGGAAATGACATTGAAGTTAGGACCTGAGAGCTATGGAAGCTGATCTTCAAAACCATGTTATTACATAAAACTATGGAAGAGCAATGAGTAGGCACCACACGCTTACAAGACACACGAGCCGAACGCCTTCCGGGCAAGGCGTCCTGCCCTACCTGTGGGGTGGAACTGAACAAACTCGAGGTCCTGGCAAGGAAGGCCTGCCCTGGTGATCATGGCCGTGCCGTCGCTGGTGCTGGTGTGGGCAGACGTGCAGCTCAAGTAGGTGCGCCCGTAGCCTATGGAAACAACAGAGAGCAGTGACTGCACACAGTGGCCCACGTCCGGACCTCCTGTCTAATGAGATCACAGAACGGACAGGGCAGCCCCCGGGCACCATCTTCTCAGTGCTGTGTGCACACAACCCCCTACTCACGCACACCCCACACACATCACTGGGGGCCACGCCAGTGGTGCTGCTACCCTGCGCAGGTAGGATAGAAGCCTGGGATCAGAGAAGAGACTTCCATTTATATTTTATTTATTTATTTATTTATTTTGAGATAGGGTCTAACTCTTGTCGCCCAGGCTGGAGTACGGTGGCACAATCTCGGCTCACGGCAACCTCTGGCTCCCAAGTTCAAGTGATTCTTCTGCCTCAGCCTCCCAAGTACCTGGGAATACAGGTGTGCACCACCACATCCAATTGATTTTTGTATTTTTAGTAGAGACTGGGTTTCGCCACGTTGGCCACGCTGGTCTTGAACTCCTGACCTCAGGTGATCCACCCACTTCGGCCTCCCAAAGTGCTGGGATTACAGGCATGAGCCACTATGCGTCTGGCCCTATTTGTATTTTAGATTTGTGCTGTTCAAAAGGTTTCCCCAGTAAGCATATACTACTTTTATAATGAAAATTTTAAAATTTTTATGGATTTTGTTTTTTTCCCCCAGATTTACTGAGGTATGATTGATGAATTAAACAAAAAACAATACTGTATATATTTAAGGTGTACAGCGTGATGATTTATTTTGTGAACTGATGACACAATCAACTTAATACACATCTATCACCTCATACAATTATCCTTTTTTTTGGAGATACAGACACCTAAGGTCTACTCTCTTCGCAAATTTCAAGTTATATTAATGATAGCCACCGTACTGTATGATTTTAACTGTAGCCACCATGCTGTATAATGTTAACTCTGGCCACCATGCTCTATAACATTAACTCTAGCCACCATGCTGTTTATCAGACCTTCAGAACTTCACCTTGTGACGGGAAGTTACACCTTTAATCAGCATCGCCACAGTCTGCATTCCCCCAGCCCCTGGCAACCACTGTCCTATTCTGTTTCTGTGAGTTGTGACAGTTTTAGATCCACATATGAGTGACATGCAGTATCTGTCTTTCTGTGCCTGGGTCGTTTCACTTAACATAATGACTTTGGGTTCATCCACGTTGTCACACATGACAGGATTTCCTTCGTTTTCATAGCTGAATAATATTCAGTTGTGTACACACACCACATTGTCATTAAACACCAAAAATTTTTAGGTTGTTTCCATATCTCGGGTATTGTGAATAACGCTGCAATGAACATGGGGGTCCAGGTGTCTCTTTGAGCTTCTGATTTCATGCCCTTTGGATATACACCCAGAAATGAGGTTGCTGGAGCACATGGTAGTCCTGTGACTTTTGAGGAACCTCCAGAGTTTTCCACAATAGTTGTACTAATTTACATTCCCACCAACAGCACACAGGGTTCCCTTTTCTCCACATCCTCATCAACACTCACTATCTTTTGTCCTCTTGGTAACAGCCATTCTAACTGGAGCGAGATGAGATGATACTCATTGGGGTTTTAATTTGCATTTCTCTGGTGCTTGGTGATGTTGAGCATTTTTTCATACATCAACTGGCCATTTGTATGTCTTCTCTGGAAAAATATCTATTCAAGTCCTTTGCCCATTTTTAGTAGGGTTGTTTTTTAGTAGGGTTTAGTAGGTTGGTTTTAGTAGGGCTTTTTTTTATTTTTTATTTTTTTTTGCTATTTTAGATACTAAGATATCATTAGATATATGGTTTGGAAAATATTTTTTCCCACCCTGTAGTTTTGCTGATTTTTTTTCTTGGCTGTACTGACACTTCTTAACTTTTAAAGTGGCTAAAGTAACTGCCACTGTATAAAATTAAAGTTTTTTATTTTCATTATGTGGAGAAGACAGACTTATCTATCCCAGGAATCAGTATAAACATAGAACCCACTAAAACAAGAGGGATTTTGCCAGAAAACCCCATGTGACTCTTCGGGCCACAGTTTCCTCATCTAAAATCGGGAGAGGTACGCTGTGAACCTGACGGCAGCCACTACCGACTAATGAGGGCCATGCTTTCTCACCCCGAGGCAGGTGCTGCTGTCCTCACCCTTTACAGGTGAGGAACCATGGCTGGGAAAGGCCATCACCCTCACGTGGTTATATCAAGGCCTGTGTCTGAACTGCTATTCTACAATGCCTCTATTTTCCTTAAAATAAAGAGACTCTAAATGAAATTTATTCATTTTTACAAAGGAAATAAAGTAGAAATTAGATTCCTACCCTGTGGCAACAATAGTATTCTTTGCTCTTATGCGATGGATGGACCCGTCCTGTATGCACAGTGCGAAGACACCACGGCACTCCCCATTCTCCATCAGGAGATCCAAGGCAAAATACTCCACAAAACAGCTGGTATCATATCGCAGAGACTAAAAGAAAGAAAAAAAAAGGGCAAGAAGTGTTAAGCCAACCTTTAAGGTTTTAAGGTGATATCTGCTCATGTGAATAGGTGAAAGAACTTGATCCAAATGGACCAGGTAAATCCAAGGAGATCAGCAACAGTGTCAATGACACTGTCAGAGCCCGAGAGGCATTCCACGCCCAGCAGTACCAACAAGGCAGGTGTGCTAGAGAACGCAGCAGCAACAGCTCCTATGTTGGTGACACATTTCCTACTTCTACACAACCCGAAGAGGCACTCCACACTGTCCGGTGGCCGCATGCAGCTCCACTCGGAGTCTGGTGCCAGAGTGAGATCCGCAGACCATGGGGTCACAGCCCAGATGGGAGCTACTGGCAACACATAACCACTTAATTAATTAAAATAAGTCAAAACGTTCAGCTCTTCAGCTACACCTGCCACATTAGCAACAGCCCCATGTGGCTGGCAGCTACCAAAGCGGACGGTTGCAGACGAGCAGATTCCGGCACCGCAGAAAGGTAGGCGCCGGACAGCGCTGCCCGCCTGGACCTGCCGTTCCCTCAGCCAGCGCAAGTCGCTCTCGTGAGCCTGGGCCAGCTCCCCACATGACAGCTCCTGCTCCGGAAGGAGCCGCCGTCTCCTCCCACCACACACTTGTCGATGCACTCAGCCACAGAGAAGTCACTGGTGTTCTAACAACCTGCACATTACTGATCCGTCCCCATGCATCAGAAAACAACAAAGCTCAGAACATGGATTACTCTGAATCAATACTGTTCAGGATATTGTTTGGTCATGCCAAAGTTGACCCTGATTACCCAGTAACTATTGTCACCTCAAGTCTTTGTCCAGTGATAACAGTTAATATGAAAACAATCCATGGCCGGGTGTGGTGGCTCACACCTGTAATCCCAGCACTTTGGGAGGCCGAGGCAGGTGGACTGCCTGAGCTCAGGAGTTCGGGAGCAGCCTGGGCAACATGGGAAACCCTGTCTCTACTAAAATACAAAACATCAGCAAGGCGTGGCGGCGTGCACCTGTAGTCCCAGCTACTCTGGAGGCTGAGGCAGGAGAATCGCTTGAACCCGGGAGGCAGAGGTTGCAGTGAGCAGAGATCGCGCCACTGCACTCCAGCCTGGGTGAGAGTGAGACTCCGTCTCAAAAACAAAGCAAAACAAAACAAACAAACCAAACCAATCCATTCAGGAACTCAGAGGTGGTAAAAGAGCCTTAAAATACTTGTTCTTTGTCTTTTTTTGAGACAGGTCTCCTGTTGCTCAGGCTGGAGTGCAGTGGTATGAACATGGCTCACTGTCTCAAGTGATCCTCCTGCCTCAGCCTCCTGAGTAACTGGGATTACAAGCATGTACCACCATGCTCAGCTACTTTTTAAACTTTCTGTAGAGACAGGGTCTCACTATGTTCTCCAGACTGGTCTCAAACTTCTGGTCTCAAGTGATCCTCCTGCCTTGGCCTCCTAAAGTGCTGGGATTACAGACGTGGGCCACTGTGCCTGGCCTGCTTGCTCTGTTCTTACATGCTGAGTGTCACATATCCCAAGTGAAAACCTGGTATATAAGATTATCAATTCAACTTCCCAACATAGAGGCAACAACTCACACATTGCCTTAGGGGCAGCTTCTCAAGGCACACGCCTGCTCCTGTCACATCCACAGTCGCTGCATGTGCCCCACACGGCTGTTCTCTGTTGCTTTTTACGCAATCTCTGGCTGACTCACTGGGCACGCTAACCCATTCCCCGCTGTCACCACAAGCCCCAGCACTATGTGTCCTGTCTCAGGTGGACGGGGGGCAGCCTTACCCTCCCATATAAGGTGTGCAATATTGAGTGGCCGGTCCGATCAGCCACACAGCAGCACCGATGGGCCTGCCTGCCCTTTCCAAACTTGAGGCTGTGTCCGCCAAATGCACGCTGATAAATCTTCCCATCTTCAGTTCTGCTAAACGGCATGCCATAATTTTCTACCTGTGAAAGATAAAAACAAACAAAAGCCTTATTACCCTAAAGGAGTCAAGATATTCACAGCTAATCTACACTAAACAACTTTAATACAAATCTGCAAACCCAAATTAACCTATTTTATGAAAATGTCAACACTTCATCAAAGAGAAGTTTTTCTTATTACATGTAATACATAGTTCATGATGGACAAAGACTTCTCTTGTGAGCTTTGCTAATCACCATTCTTTCGGCTGCCACATCTGCCTCAACTGCTTACATTTTTTCCAGGACTCTTGTACTGGAAACAGACCACCAGAGCACCCAGAGCCTCCCGCCCATCACCTCGACCATGGCAGTGGGGGCCTGCTCCGTCACGTAGTGGATGGCATCCTGGTCCCCCAGCCAGTCGGAGCCCTTCACGGTGTCATAGAAATGCCACCTCCAGTTGTCCTCCTCCATGTTCCCCAGAGCAGCATTGATTCCAACCTGGAAACACCAACCACTCCTTACAAGCCACAAACAGGAGCCCCAGCTTTGTCTTCCAGGCCCAAATCCACCCGCTGGGGGATTCAGAGAAAGCCAGCTACTCACATGGTGACTCCCAGTGAGGGCTGACCTCAGCAGAGGAGCAGCCAGGCCTGACAGATTCCAGATCACAACCCCTCCCAGACTCACCCAGTGATTCCATCCCTTAGCCTCAGTCTCCTCATCTGTGTGGTGGAGACAGAGGGAACTCCAGGAAGGGCTGACTGGAGCAGTGAGTGAAAGGCTACCTGTAATATGCTTATTACCTAACGTATCTGGCACAGAAAAGGTACTCCATGAATCTCTCCGCATAATTTTATTAACAAATCTTCCCAACGGCATTTACGGGCATGTGTTAAAGATTAGAAGTGCTTCCTGCCAAGTAATAAACTCCATACTCAGAGTCGCACTCCCCTGTACCCCTACTTCCTTTGGCTGTGTGTGCCCACCACCGTCTTACCCCTCAGAGAGTCCCAGAAGACAGCAGCACCAGGGACAAATGAAACCCTTGCCCTTTTCTTCCCCAACCTAAATTCTGAATCCTCCTCTTTAGATGATCTCCTTTTCTTAAGGTGTTGGGGTGGCAGGGGTGGGTGGGGAGGGTAGATGGTCAGAGAAAACCCAAGTGTGACTGGAGTCTGAATTAAGAGTGACAACAAGGCTCCCGCCCTTCAAAGTCCCCAGGGAAGAGGCTCCAGGGAGAGACCCCTGAATGGGTGAGCTGAGTAAGGCACAGCAAGAGGCCAAGTGGCTGGAGCACAGGGAGGAGGCAGGAGGCTGCCCAGGTAGAAAGTGCGAGGCTGCGCGGGACCTGCACGGAGTGGGAGCACAGTGGGGCACCTTTCTCTTACCTGCGCTGCAACAGTGTGTGACCTGGTAGGAAACAGCTTGGTAACACATGCTGTATCAAACTCTGCCTCGGAAAGGCCAAATGCAGCTCGCAAAGCCTGCCCCTCCAGCGCCTACCACCACTGCATCAAATTCATGATCCACTACTGGATACTGAGCAGAAATCTGGAAAAGAAAAATTCACCTGTCAAGCACAGGTTCCACTATGCCAAACATGAAGACTCTTGTGCCAGTGAAAGAGCTTGACAAAGATAAAAGGAGCAACTGCTGGGCACACAGGGCCTCCATCCTGTCCTGGGGCTGAGCCCTGAACAGTGCAGGGAGAAGTAGGCACATTCGCACCTGGAGAAGGGACTGATAATCAGATTCTATGAATGGTAGAGGGTCTATTCCATGGGATCAGACTGAGGACCACAACTCTACTTCAGGGCCGTGCCTATGCTTATGCCTGAGAAGGTACCAAGGAGCATTCAGTCGCTATTGTGAGCTTATGAGAAAAGAACTTCTCAGCACGTTTCAGTTTTCCAACAGAGAGAGAACAGGCACACTCAATACCAAGGAACCCACACCGGAAGGGCCCCACGGTCCTCTTTTCAGTAGGATTTTATCATCTATCACAGCAGATACTGTTCATTTTAATTTATTGCTTTACTTGACCTAAATTTAAATCTAATTTATAGATACATAACAGATACAAGTAAAAATGTTAACATCTATGTTTATATTGGTACTTGCAATTAAGTATTATTACACTGAAAATAATTTCAGCATGCATTGGATACCTATGAGAAATTTTTCCCTTATGTCTATGACTCATATGAAAACAAACTGGTATAGATCCTTACCCCCAAGCCAAAAAAATCATTTATAATGGAACAAAAAGCATGAACTTACGGAATCTGAAACTTTAGCAGATGCCCTCTCGTTCCTTCAACAGTGAAGTGAACACCTCGGGTTCCTGTTTGCAACACTGTTGGCCACTGGAGACACAGAAGACACAGATCCAGAGGGTTAGTGTCCTGAAGGAACAAATGCTGTGGGGGATAGTAATTCAAACTTCCCCTTGAAAACTGTTCACCTTCTTATGTACCCAGGTGCTCCTGTGCATCCAGAGAGCTCAGCTGGGACCCTCTATTTAACCCTGAAGGGCAGCCCAAGGGGCAAGGAAGGACTGAGCCCCCAGGTCCTCCTTTCCACCCTGACTTGGCACTCTAGAAAACCAGGATGAAGCTTGTTTCCAAAAAGGATACTCACTGACTCAGATACGAGATGAAAAAGACGCACTTCCTCTGGGAAGTCTTCACTTATGCTACTTAGTGGAGGAGGGGAAAGACATCCAGATCGTATTACTGTATGTGGTATTTTGCAAATAATGAAGCATTTTAACCGGCTCCATCAGAGCCCTTTCCACATTACAGTTCCAATCGTCCAGGAGGGCTTGCGGTCAGTTCAAAAGGCACTGGACACCTGAATCAGGAGATCTGTATCCTGGAACAGTAAAGGCTGACAGCCCAGAGGGAAGAGGTGTCATCCCTTCATCACACAGGAGGATGTCGGATGCACACTCTCCCCTGCCTGGTTGATGCTGGCTTTTTCCTGGCCAACGTCTACAACTTGACATATCTCACTGCTTAAATTTTCCATCTTAGAAACCTTTACTCAAGAAAACTGGTTTTAGTGTTTAGTTTTTAGTGGCTCTGTGTGAGAGAGGTCACACTGTCCCATATGCTAAGGTTGGCCAGCCATTTAGGGGATACGTTTTCCATTCTGCTGGCGGCATTTTAGAAGACCACTGAATAGTCTCAGAAATATCATCAAGAATAGTTTTAGGGGCTGGGCGTGGTGGCTCATGCCTGTAATCCCAGCATTTTGGGAGGCCAAGGTGGGCAGATCACCTGAAGTCAGGAGTTCGAGACCAGTCTGGCCAACATGGCAAAACCCCCTCTCTACTAAAAATTAGCTGGTCGTGGTGGCGGGCACCTGTAATCCCAGCTACTTGGGAAGCTGAGGCAGGAGAATCGCTTGAACCCAGGAGGCAGAGGTTGCAGTGAGCCGAGACTGTGCCACTGTACTCCGGCCTGGGCGACAGAGCGAGACAATGTCTCCAAAAAAACAAAAGAAAAAAAAAAGCTTTAGGAAATTATGCACTCAGCAATCAGAAGAGGGGATGTGAGGGATGTCTTCAAGTATTTAGAAATACTTGCAATTCACAAATTACTTATTATGTGGGATAAAAAATTATTCTTCATTTCTCCAATTTCTAGTCTGTTTTTATTGACATAAGCTAATTTAGTTTTTTCTTTTTTCAGAAAATGAGAAAGAACGAATATTCTTCTACCTTAGTATAATTTTTTACATGGTAAAATCATATTTTAAGAAAGAAGTCTTTGAAATAATTTTAATAAAAACGTTCTTGAAAATTTTGTAAAGTGCCCTATTAACATAGGTAATAGCACCAATAAAAACAGTACATTATACCAAATGTAAGTAGAAACAGTGAGATCACTAAATGTTTATTCGTTCTTTCTAGGATGTTGATGTGGAATACACACTGCCCACTCCCCACCACACACACACACAGCTGCCTTAAAAGGGGCAGCTACTATAACACAATCTTGAACAAATCATCACGCCATCCCCCTGGGGAAAAGGACACTAACCCTCTGCATCTAAATCTCATCTGGGGCAGATTTTTGAATCTGGAAAGCCCAACTTCAAGCCAATGTCAGTCTTTAGATAAAACTCAAAACTACTTTTGACACAAAACTAGTCTTTTGTGCCAATTATTAATTTTTTAGGAGAAACTATCAAACATTTCCTCTAAGAAAAAACATGGGGAACATATAACTAAAAGGAATACTTAGACCTTGCTTAACAATACAGAATTTCAGATGACTGAATCAGGAGGTGGAGGGGGAAAAGTAACAAGTGCAGAGACATTCATATCCGAAATCTAGCAAAGTAAGGGGTCCTCATCGAATAAAATGCACCTATAAATCATGAGCAAGAAACGAATCTGCATGTACAGCCTACACAATCACAAAAGCAGCCAACGAAGAACCCAAAAACGCACGACTTTCTGTAGGAAAAGCTACCTTCATCAAGATAAAAAGACTTTTACAAAACCCAAGACTAAATTTTGGTTCCATTTTGCTATCTTGCCATCTGGTCTGAGGTGCCTGGGGCCTTAGTCTGCAGAAGGAACACTGGGCACCATCTGGGTTGGGGACAAAGGCACTGGCTCTATCTAGCTTCTCTCCAACCACAAGCTACCATTGCCCCTAAAAAGTCCCACTGACCATGGGCTTCACCTCCTGCTTGTGGACGCCCTCCCAGCAGCTCCTAAGAGCCCAAGATGCGGCGGGGGTCTCTGCTCAGTCAGCACCAACCACAGCAACACGCTAGAACGGTTTACACGCTTTCCGATGTTGACAGGATGGCTGTATGACTAATCCTCACATTTAATTCAAAGAGATTTTCAATAACTATTTCAAAAAGGAGAAAATTGCACAATCACAGGCATAATTCAAATCAATATTGCTGAATGCCTTGGTTCCTCTATTGAGATTTTTACTCTGCAATTTAAAATTACTTTGTAATTAAGAGGTGGGTGGCTAAGTTCATTTAAAAGAACCAAACAACTAAACCTATCCAATTTCGCTTGATTAAATGAAATCCTAGAAGGCCGATTCTGAAGATGCAATCGTAGAGGGCACATTCAGACACTCAGAGAGCAAGGGCTCAGGGAAGTATAACCCTGACCATCATCCTGGACTAAGCCGAGCCCGGCCCTCGAGGTACTCAGCGCACAGGCAAGCACAGGTCCTGGAGTCCTCGCTCGGTCAGTGCCCTGAGCTCTCCGTCTGATTTTTAAAAACTGGCACAGCTGCTTTTAAACACCGGCACATTTTTGTGGCACAAGGGCCACCAAACGGGACCCAAAGTACAGGTCCTTAACTTCCAAGATCCCGAAGTGGACATGCACAGATTTGCGCTCTCTGGAAAGGGGAACTGCAAGCCCAAGCTCGGGCGCGCCGCGCTTCCCACCGGACACCCACCCGGCCGAGCCCGGCCACTCCTCGCACCCACCCAGGCGGTTTCACCCGCCCCGCCGGCCCCACCCACGGGCTGCGGGCGGCCCCGCAGGACAACCCTCACAGAGGGCGGCAGAGGCCCGGCCCAGCCAGGACTCCACCCCGGTGACCTTGGGCAGACACGACTCCTCCCCGAGTCCACCCGCCAGGCAGAGGCGAGGGGCTACCTCAGCCCGCGAGGTCGCCGGACCCCAGGCCCGGACCAAAGCGGCGGAGGGGACGCCCAGCAAGCCCGCGGGGTCGCGACCTTCACCGGGACGCGGCCTACCTGCTAAGGACCGAGCTCCCCAGGCCCCCGAGTACACTCCGCGGCTCCCCCTCGCACCGGCCCAGGGCTCTCCCAGCCCCTTCCCGATCCCCGGGCAGGGGGCGCGGGCACCCGGCGCCCGCTCCGCTCGGACCCGCTGGGGACCGTCCCGCTCCTACCGCCGCCTCGCCCCCCGCCTGCCCTGCCCCGGTCCGCGGCAGGGACTCACCGCCTTGGCCAGCGCCAGCGCCAAGCGCCGAGCGCTTGGCAACCGCGACAGGCCCCGGACCCCCGACACGTCTGTAGTCGCCGCCGCGCAGTCCCGCCAGTCCCTGCGCAGACTGCGCCTGCGCACCACGGCCGGGTCAAGGCGGGGCGCTAGTGGGGGACATCGCGCCTGCGCACCACGACACGCCCGGGCAGGGGTCTAATGGGCGGGGACGCCGCGCCTGCGCAAAGCGGACCCGCGGACGGTGGCGCTGGGTGGCCACGGAGGTCCCGCGCTCCCCGACCGAGATAGGGCGGGCCCTATTTCGGGGAGATGTTGGGCACCAACATTTTTTAAAGCCCCGTGGGTGGTTCTCCGGGATCTCCCAGACCGAGAGGGCCTGAACGTCCAGACCTCAGGGAATGGGGTCGAAGGGGCGGCGCTCGTCCGCGGAGGTGGGCGGGAGCGGCCCGGGGCCTCCGGCCTCTAGAGAGCGGGAGTGACCCTCGGTTTCTGGCCTCCGAGGGGCGGGAGCGATCCTCAGCCATGTCCCTAGTGTCTGGCTTCCGGCTGATTTTTAAATTTTTGGTAGAGGCGGGATCTTGCTCTGTTGCCCAGGCTGGTCTCGAACTTGTGGCCTCAAGCGATCCTACCTCCTCGGCCTCCCCAAGTGCGGAGATTACAGACAGAGCCACTGCGCACGGCCGTGGTCAGCTTTGAAAGCTGGGTAGATCCCTTTGGCTCATACGCCTTTCTGCTAGCTTACCCTGATTCTGCTTCTGGTTCAGATAGTATTTTAATATTTCTAGTGTGTCTTTTTCTAAGATATCTGAAATCTTTTTGTGGAATGAAGTGGCATGAAAAATAAACCAATAATCATTAGTAAGTATGTTTCCTGTCTTTTCACTTTATTAAAATCTTCGTCTTGTGCATCATGTTTAACAATTTTATTTTAGTAAATTTGCAAGGGTTCAGTCCCATTTTACTGATATTTGGGTTGTTTCCCATTTTTGCTCTTAATAACACCATACAGAACATATTTGTGACCATAACTTTCTCTTTAGGATTATTTTTTTAGATGTATGCCCCAGACGTGACCTTTATTGGCTTGCAGGGAATGAACATCATACCTCCTAGACTTATTTTTTTAAAGTTACGCTGTTTTAGTCCTGGGTTAGTTACCTAATTTTGTTTGGTTTGAGACGGAGTTTCGCTCTTGTTGCCCAGGCTGGAGTGGAATGGCGGGATCTCGGCTCACCGCAACCTCTGCCTCCAGGGTTCAAGAGATTCTCCCGCGGAGCTTACAGTGAGCGGAGATGGCGCCACTTCACTCCAGCCTGGGCAACAGAGCAAGACTATATTGCTTTAATTTACTCTGCCGGCTATCTGGAGAGATGCAACCTCATCAGCAGAAATTATTTCCACCCTGCTGCTTTTTAAATGTTATTTCCTATAGCCAGGTACTGAGCCCTTCAATTGAGGTCTAAACCCTCCACCCTCTCCCTCCGGGATTGCCAAGCCTGTGGTTTCAGTTCCATGCTCCCAGGTAGATTGTGTCAACTCAAAGTCAATGCGCTTATGAAATACTTTTTGTGGTTTTTTTCTTAATTTTAAGAGGTTTTTTTTTAAAATATGTTTTTGTTTCATGGAGGCGACACCCTCTGTCTCTGAGTTGTGGGAGCCTTCCTCCTTCAGTCTGCATGTACTGAAGCCAGTGTTTGCCGTACCAGCCCCTCAGCCGCAGCAGCCCACAGTGAGGTGCAGGTGCTCACGCCATCGCCCCAGAGAGCTCCTCCATTCGCCCCTCCACCCGTAGCCCCTCGAAACCACTGCCCTGCTCCCCGACACGGTACACTGTCTTCTCCAAGATGTCATGTGTTGGCATCCTTTGGCCTGTGCCCACCGAAACTAGCTTCCTTCAACGGGCATGTAGCCTGGGAGACCTGGGGCATTTGGGTGCATCTTTCCACTGCTGGTTGGTGCCCCCTGTGTGGAAGCATCCGCGTTAGTTCACGCCTTCTCCTGCTCCTGCCGACGGACATTTTGTTTTCTTCCAGTTATTGGCAATGAGGAATGAGGCCTAAACACTTGTGTGCAGGTTTGTGTGTGCACGTTTAAGTTTTCCCTTGGGGGACATTTCAGCAGTGGGGTTGCTGGATGACATGGTAAGGATGTGCTTAACTTCGTAAGAAACTCCAGGACCACTTTCCAGCATGGCGGGACCCCTCCCATTCCCACTGCAGCTTATGAGGGTCCCAGTTCCTCTGCATCATCACTAGAACCTGGGTTGGCCCATGGGTTTTGTCTGTTTTTAGCCATTTTAATGGATTTGCAGAGGTACTGCTGACTGGCATTTCTCCAGCATCTCTATGATGTTGAGCCTCTTTCTCGGGCAATATGCCCTCCTTATACCTTCTTTGATGAGGCCTCCGT
The DNA here is from genome assembly GCF_000001405.40 of Homo sapiens. Taxonomy (NCBI): domain Eukaryota; kingdom Metazoa; phylum Chordata; class Mammalia; order Primates; family Hominidae; genus Homo; species Homo sapiens. The sequence continues at coordinate 140,291 of NT_187678.1, forward strand.
TCCAATATTGGCCCTCTCTTTAATACTGGGGTTTTTACTTTCTTATGGTTAAGTTTTGATGGTTCTTCATATATCCTGCGTGCCAGTAGGTTGTGAGACGTGTGATTCACAAATGTTTATTTCTAGACCATAGTTCATGTTTCATTCTCTTTGGATTTTTATATTGCTTTATAGAATTATAATTTTAAATTTATGACTAAATTTAATTTGTCAATCTTATGAATCATGCTTTTGGTGTCATGTCTAAGAACTTTTCGCCTAACCCCAGGCCATACGAATTTTCCCCTGTGTTTTTAGCTAAGGGTTTGATAGCGTTATGTTCTCCATTTAGGCCTTTAATAAATGTTGAGGAACATTTTGTGACCGCCATGGCCATACCTTTCTCCATCTCTCACGGTATCGTGGGCATTTGCAGCTCCCAGTGCGCCGTGCTGTTCCCGTCTTCTTGGTCTGCTCCTCCTGTCATACCTTTCTCCGTCTCTCACAGTATCGTGGGCGTTTGCAGCTCCCAGTGCCCCGTGCTGTTCCCGGCTTCTTGGTCCGCTCTTCCTGTGAGTTTCAGGGCACGTCTTAGTGCTGGCACTGTCCTGGTCCATCGGGGGTCCCATGAGCTTCTCCATGTGGGAAGGTTGGGACTGTGATGTTGACGGGATGCCCTGTGAGTCAGGAGGAGGTGCTGACGGGGGTTTCCATGTAGGAGAGAGAGGTGTTTGGTTTTCCGGATGGGGCAGACTTGAGAGGGGACAAACTTGAGAAATGCCACCAATGAGAAGGGCACGCACAGCAGGTCTCGGGGCCGCCCAGCCGTGTGGGAGACAAACGTGGATGTGTCAGTGGCCACGCCAGGAGGTAAACCCTCAACCAAGGGCCTCTGGGTGTCCAAGACCAAGTCTTGCTCAAGAGGTGTGTTCAGCTGAGCCAACCATGGCAGAAATGCATAAGGGAGATCCCACGGTTCCTCTGTTTAAATCCCCTGCTAATCCCACCAGACTCAGAGAAGCAGCCAAGTCCTCACAGCAGCCTGCAACCCCCGCCTGACTCGGCCTCCTCTTGGCTCTGATTCTCTGCACCCTTCTATCCCTGTCTCTTCTTCCATCAGAGAGGAGATCCGGCACGTTTATCCTGGTGGATTCAAACCCATCTTTGCCCCACATATAGTCACCGGAATGAATAGGTATAATCTAGAAAGAGTCCTTTTGAAAAAGAAAAAAGCAGGCCGGGCATGGTGGCTCATGCCTATAACCCTGCAGGGACCAGCCCCACAGGGTCGGTGGGTCTCTCCCTGTGTGCGGCGACGAGAGAGTGTAGAAATAAAGACACAAGACAAAGAGATAAGAGAAAGGGCAGCTGGGCCCGGGGGGCCACTACCACCAATGCGCGGAGAACGGTAGTGCCCCGAATGTCTGGCTGCGCTGTTATTTATTGGATACAAGGCAGAAGGGGCAGGGTAAAGAATGTGAGTCACCTGCAATGATAGGTAAGGTCACGTGGGTCACGTGTCCACTGGACAGGGGGCCCTTCCCTGCCTGGCAGCCGAGGCAGAGAGGGAGAGGAGACAGAGAGAAAGACAGCTTATGCCATTATTTCCGCATATCAGGGACTATTAGTATTTTTACTAATTTACTACTGCTATCTAGAAGGCAGAGCCAGGTGTACAGGATGAAACATGAAGGCGGACTAGGAGCGTGACCACTGAAGCACAGCATCACAGGGAGACGGTTAGGCCTCCGGATAACTGCAGGCGAGCCTGACTGATGTCAGGCCCTCCACAAGAGGTGGAGGAGCAGAGTCTTCTCTAAACTCCCCCGGGGAAAGGGAGACCCCCCCCCCTCCCCGCCCTTTCCCGGTCTGCTAAGTATCGGGTGTTGTTCCTTGACACCTTTTGCTATCCGCCTGGTAACAGGCATCTTCCCAGACGCTGGCATCACCGCTAGACCAAGGAGCCCTCTGGTGGCCCGGTCCGGGCATAACAGAAGGCTCGCACTCTTGTCTTCTGGTCACACCTCACTATGTCCCCTCAGCTCCTATCTCTGTATGGCCTGGTTTTTCCTAGGCTACGATTATAGAGCAAGGATTATCATAATATTGGAATAAAAAGTAATTGCTACAAACTAATGATTAATGATATTCATATATAATCATATCTAAGATCTATATCTGGTATAACTATTCTTGTTTTATATTTTATTATACTGGAACAGCTCGTGTCCTCTGTCTCTTGCCTCGGTGCCTGGGTGGCTTGCCACCCACATAATCCCAGCACTTTGGGAGGCTGAGGTGGGAGAATCACCTGAGGTCAGGAGTTTCAGACCAGCCTGGACAACATGGTGAAACCCCATCTGTAGTAAACATATAAAAATTAGTTGGGCGTGGTGGTGCGTGCCTGTAATCCCAGCCACTTGGGAGGCTGAGGCAGGAGAATCATTTGAACCCAGAAGATGGAGGTTGCAGTGAGCTGAGATCGCGCCACTGCACTCCAGCCTGGGTGGCAGAGTGATATTGTCTCAAAAACATAGTAATAGGAATAATAAAGGAAAAGTGCAAAAATTCAAACAACTTAACAGAAACTGGGCAAAAGAGCTGAACCGGCCCTCCACAGAAGAGGAAATGTGGAGGAATGGCTAATGAAAACATGAAGAGGGGCTCAGCCTAACAGGGGGAGATATCACGTGACAACCACCAGACGGGCAAAAATCCCACAACCCAATCCATGCCAGCGTTGGGGAGAATGGAGAGAAGCAGGAACACCAGGCACTGCTAACGCTTGTGAAGTATATTTCTGCTATGCTTGTATATGAAAGTGTGTGTGTTGTGGGTTATGAGGAAAATTACATTTTTACCTGGGATGAAATTTTAAAATTTGAAAGCTACTGACCAGAAGAAACTTGCGCTTGTGTACAAAAGAAATGCCCAAGAACGTTCCCAACAAAACACAGTCCTAAGGGCCCCAACCTGGCCAAACACTCATCCACGGGAAGATGAAGACATTTCCCATGCTCCCCTCAGACGACGGGAGACCATGCAGCAATGAAAATGAGCCATGTCAGTGTGGGTGGGTCTCAGGGAGAGAATGGAGGACAAAAATAGACACAGAGCAGGTGCTCAGAGCCATGCAGTGCAGGAGCAGCCACGCAGGAGAATTCCCTCACGTCAAAGTTCAAAACTACAGCCGAGGCAACAGAGCAAGACCCTGCCTCAAAAAGAAAACAGAAAGTTCAAAAACTAAATGGCATATCTTTTAGGGATGTACACACACGGTGAAAGAAACATACTATGAAGGAAAGTGTGCAAATAATAAAGACTAAAGCAGGAAGTGATTCCCTCCGTAGGAGAAGGGAAGGGACTGGGACTCAGGCAGGGCCTCCAGGGAGCATCCAAAGCTATGTCTCTTCAGATTCTACTCCCTAAACTTGGTGGAGGTCCTCTGTGTCCAATGTGTCAATATTCTTTATACCTTACCCATACTGTAAAAACGCTTTATTTCTATTCAATATTTAGAAGACAGTTATAAACAAGATGCATTCAATAGCATGGTGGCAGATGAACATCAGGAAGGAACATCCATGAGCTTCCATCCACGGAACCTCACCATGGATACGCTTGTGATCAAGGGCCTGGTCTCCCCTCAAGACACGGTCACAGATCAGAGGCCACACCATCCTAGCAGTGGAGCAGGACCAGCTGGGACAGGGTCCTTCTGTGACACCTGCTGCATCACCAGGCTGGGTGAACGGACACAATTGCCAGAACTCACAGAATAGAAGTATCAGCACCGAAACCTCACAGGAAAAATGGTAAGTTCTAAGTTTCTCCATTAATAGTAACTCTCAGATTAATCTCTGTCATCCATCGCTTCTCCAAGAAATGACTTTTTAGGGTGATGTGCCAGGCGCCATGTTGGAGGGCTGGTGGTAGCGGCTTGGGGAGGTGCTCACTCTGTCGGTCTCACTCTCTCACACGCTTCCCCGGCTCCCTTCGTTCCCCCCCACCCCACTTGGCCTGCGTGCTGGAGGGTGTGCGAGGGAGTGGGAGGACGTCGGGGGGTGGGGGGAGGCGTTCCGGTCCCCAAGAGACCCGCGGAGGGAGGCGGAGGCTGTGAGGGACTCCGGGAAGCCATGGACGTCGACAGGCTCCAGGAGGCGCTGGAAGATTTTGAGAAGAGGCAAAAAAGAAAGTCTGTCCTGTCCTGGATCAGTTCCTTTTGTCATGTAGCCAAGACTGGAGAAACAGATTCCGTGGTCCCAATTTAAAGGCTATTTTATTTTCAAACTGGAGAAAGTGATGGATGATTTCAGAACTTCAGCTCCTGCGCCAAGAGGTCCTCCCAACCCTAATGTCGAATATATTCCCTGTGATGAAACAAAGGGAAGAATACTGAAAAACTGTCACTGGATTTAACCGTATCCCTTTTACTATTCAGCGATTATGTGAATTGTTAACAGATCCGAGGAGAAACTATACAGGAACAGACAAATTTCTCAGAGGAGTAGAAAAGAACGTGATGGTTGTTAGCTGTGTTTATCCTTCTTCAGAGAAAAACAATTCCAATAGTTTAAATCGAATGAATGGTGTGATGTTTCCTGGAAATGCACCAAGCTATACTGAGAGGTCTAATATAAATGGGCCTGGGACACCCAGGCCACGTAATCGACCAAAGGTTTCTCTGTCAGCCCCCATGACAACAAATGGGTGGCCTGAGAGCACAGACAGCAAAGAGGCAAATTTGCAGCAAAATGAAGAGAAAACTCAGTGACTCTTCGACATCTGAATCAGAAGTTTCCTCAGTGAGCCCTTTGAGAAATAAACATCCAGATGAAGATGCTGTGGAAGCTGAGGGGCATGAGGTAAAAAGACTCAGGTTTGACAAAAAAGGCGAAGTCGGAGAAATAGCCAGTCAAGCGACTTGCAGCGAAATTTCTTCAGTTATGGTAGAAGAAACAGAAGCATCACCTTCATCTCATGATAAAGACAAAAAAAGCCATGGTACCCGGCAGCGCGTTCAGAAGAAGATGAAGATGAAGAGGAAGAAGAAGGGATTGAGAGACCATCTGTAAAAGGGAGGAGTAAGGAGATCCTCAAATTCTTGCATTCATTGTTTTTGTGAAAGAATTGTACATCATGGAACTCCTTGTAATGTCGACGCTGGGCTTTTCTCCCACCTGTATGCAGTTGCTGCTGAATTTCAGGGGATGTGATTTGAACTACAGAACATCAGAATTCACGAAACTTAACTGTGGAGGTATTTTGAATATAAAATTTAAGTACAACAACATTTGCTTATTTTTAGAGTCTTTTATGACATCAAGAGAAATGGTCCCAGAAAGAAAAAACCAAGAAAAAGAATCTGATGATGCCTCAACTGTGAATGAAGAGACTTCTGAGGAAAATAATGAAATGGAGGAATCTGATGTGTCTCAAGCTGAGAAAGATTTACTACATTCTGAAGGTAGTGAAAACGAAGGCCCTGAAAGTAGTGGTTCTTCTGACTGCCGTGAAACAGAAGAATTAGTAGGATCCAATTCCAGTAAAACTGGAGAGATTCTTTCAGAATCATCCATGGATAATGATGACGAAGCCACAGAAGTCACCGATGAACCACTGGAACAAGACTATTTAGAAACATTTACATGCAGTATTTTACACACAGTTCTGGTTTTAACACTGTATAAAACTTTTATGTAAAAAAGTGCACCTTTAGTTTTATAAGAAAAGCAGGTTGTAAAATAAAGTACTTTATGGATAATTCCTGAAAGAGTTGTCCATGTAAGAACTGTGAATATCAGCTCCTCTGGGTCCTGCTTACCTTACCGCTGATTTCTTTTTCTTTCTTTCTTTCTTTCTTTCTTTCTTTCTTTCTTTCTTTCTTTCTTTCTTTCTTTCTTTCTTTCTTTTCTTTCTTTCTTTCTTTCTTTGGTCTGGGCAAATCAGTGGTTTGTGTATAGATTTTTTTTTTTAATTTAGGATTAAAGTTTTTAAACTGGAAAGTAATTATAATTTTGAACAGTTTTTTGAGATTATCACATTTAGTTTATACATATGCAAGAAGCTTTTTGTCTTGTGTCTTTCTGATAGCTCCAGCAGTTTTCATATTTTGGTCATAGTTTCAACATTTTAACATGTGAATAATAGAGTTTCATGCTGGTTTCCAGATTTTATTGTTCGGATACATACAATAGAACCTTAAGTTTTATATATATATATATATATATATATATATATATATATATATATATATATATATTCTAAGGGGGAAAATGTTATATTTTTCTGTTTGTATAAGAGATAAATACAGTGGATACTTTTTCTATTGGTAATGACTGAGTTCACCTCTTTCAGAAGACATTTTCTTTCTCTTCTGAGTAACTGAAATAAAATCTGGCCTCTGTGAAACCCTGGAAATACCACGACCCTCAACTAGAAACACCAATACCAGCTCCTCCGCGAGTTTCCAGCTCCACAACCTAAGACATCAGAGGCAGCATTGGTTCCTCACGTAGAGTCCAGCTCCGGGACCCTCATATTTGAACCGCAGGGCCATCTCATCCCTGGATCTCCAGCTGCACCACACTCAAATTAGAACAACATCAGTTCCTCCCCAGGTCTCCACCTGCACAGCCCTCGAAAGGGAATGTCAGCTCCTCCCCGGGTCTCCAGCTGTAGGGCCCTAAAACTAGAACATCAGCTCCCGCCTGGGTCGCCAGCAGCACCACCCTCAAACTGGAACATCAGATCCCCACGGGTCTCCAGCTGCAGGGCCCTCAAACTGGAACATCAGCTCCCCACCAGATCTCCAGCTGCACGGACCTCAAACTGGAACATCAGCTCCCCGCCGGGTCTCCAGCTGCACTGCCTGCAAACTGGAACATGAGCTCCCTGCCCGGTCTCCAGCTGCATGGCCCTCAAACTGGAACATCAGCTCCCCACCAGATTGCCAGCTGCACGGCCCTCAAACTGGAATATCAGCTCCACCCCGGGGCTCCAGGTGCACAGCCCTCAACCTGCAACATCAGCTCCCCACTGGGTCTCCAGATGAATGGCCCTCAACCTGCAACATCAGCTCCCCACCGGGTCTCCAGATGCATGGCCCTCAAACTGGAACATCAGCTCCCCACCGGGTCTCCAGCTGCATGGCCTTAAACTGGAACATCAGCTCCGAGACCCTCAAACAGGAACATCAGCTCCCCACAGGGTCTCCAGCTGCACAGCCCTCAAATTGCAACATCACTTCCCCCCTGCATGTCCAGCTGCACCGCCTCAAACTGCAACATCAGCTCCCCGCTGGGTCTCCAGCAGCATGGCCCTCAACCTGGAACATCAGCTCCCCCCAACCCGGGTCTCCAACTCCACAGCCCTCAACCTGCAACACTGGCTACCAACTGGGTCTCCAGATGCATGGCCCTCAAACTGGAACATCAGCTCCACCCCCGGTATCCAGCTGCACAGCCCTCAAACTGGAACATCAGCTCCCTGCCGGGTCTCCAGGTGCACGGCCCTCAAACTGGAACATCAGCTCCCCACCAGGTCTCCAGCCGCACGGCCCTCATACTGGAACATCAGCTCCCCACCAGATCTCCAGCTGCACAGCTCTCAAACAGGAACATCAGCTCCCCACAGGGTCTCCAGCTGCACGGCTCTCAAACAAGAACATCAGCTCCCCACAGGGTCTCCAGCTGCACGGCCCTCAACCTGCAACACTGGCTCCCCACCGGGTCTCCCGATGCACGGCCCTCAAACTGCAACATCAGTTCCCCCCGGGCATACAGCTGCATGGCCTTAAACTGGAACATCAGCTCCCCGCTAGGTCTCCAGGAGCACGGTCCTCAAACTGGAACATCAGCTCCCTGCCAGGTCACCAGCTGCATGGCCCTCAAACTGGAACATCACCTCCCCGCCAGGTCTCCAGCTGCATGGCCCTCAAATTGCAACATCAGCTCCCATCAGAGCCTCCAGCTGCATGGCCATCAAACTGGAACATCAGCTCCCCCGCGGGTCTCCAGCTGCACAGACCTCAAACTTGAACATCAGCTCCCCGCCGGGTCATCAACTGCATGGCCCTCAAACTGGAACATCAGCTCCACCCCTGGGTCTCCAGTAGCACGGCCCTACAACTGGAACATCAGCTTCCCCCTGGGTCTCCGGCTGCACAGCCCTACAACCGGAACATCAGCTCCCTGCCGGGTCTCCAGCTGCACAGCCCTCAAACTGGAACATCAGCTCCCCGCTGAGTTCAAACTATTCCAGTTTGAGGGCCGTGCAGCTGGAGACCCGGCGGGGAGCTGATGTTCCAGTCTGAGGGCCGTGCAGCTGGAGACCCGCGGGGGAGCCGAACTTCCGGTTTGAGGGCCATGCAGCTGGATACCCGGTGGGGAGCTGAAGTTCCAGTTTGAGGGCCGTGAAGCTGGAGACCCGTTGGGGAGCTGAAGTTCCAGTTTGAGGGCCGTGAAGCTGGAGACCCGGTGGGGAGCTGATGTTCCAGTCTGAGGGCCGTGCAGCTGGAGACCCAGTGGGGAGCTGATGTTCCAGTCTGAGGGCCGTGCAGCTGGAGACCCGGTGGGGAGCTGAACTTCCAGTTTGAGGGCCATGCAGCTGGATACCCGGTGGGGAGCTGAAGTTCCAGTTTGAGGGCCATTCAGCTGAAAGACTTGGGGAGAAGCTGATGTTCCAGTTTGAGGGCCGTGCAGCTGGAGACTCGGGGATAGCCGATGTTGCAGTTTGAGGGCCGTGCAGCTGGAGACCCGGGTGGGAACCGATGTTCCAGTTTGGGAGCCATGCAGCTGGAGGCACTGCGGGGAGCAGATGTTCCAGTTTGATGTTCCTCCCTGGGTCTCCAGGTGCACGGCCATCAAACTGGAACATCAGCTCCCCGGCCCTCAAACCGGAACATCAGCTCCCCGCCGGATCTCCAGCTGCACAGCTGTCAACATCAGCTCCTCCCCGAGTCCTCAGCTGCACGACCCTCAAGTTAGAACATCAGCTTCTCCCCAAGTCTTCAGCTGCGTGACCCTCAATCTAGAACATCAGTTCCTCTACAGGTCTGCAGCTGCAAGACCCTCAATCTAGAACGTCAGCTCCTCCCTGAGTCTCCAGCTGAAACACCCTCAAAACGAACAACATCAGCTCCTCCCTGAGTCTTCAGCTGCACGACGCTCAATCTACAACATCAGCTCCTGTCTGGTTCTCCAGCTGCACGACCCTCAAACTACAACCTCAGCTCTTCCCCGAGTCTTCTGCTGCATGACCCTCAATCTAGAACATAAGCTCCTCTCTCGGTGTCCACCTGTAGGGACCTCAAATTAGAACGTCAGCTCCTCCCAGAGTCTTCAGCTGCATGACCCTCAATCTTTAACATCAGCTCCTCTCCGGGTCTGCAGCTGCATGACCCTAAAAATACACGAGCAGCTCCTCCCTGAATCTTCAGCTGTACGACCCTCAAACTACAACATCAGCTCCTGTCTGCATCTCTAGCTGCAGGGCCCTCAAACTAGAATATCAGCTCCTCCCCGATTTTTCACCTGCATGACCCTCAAACTAGAACATCAGCTCCTGTACAGATTTCCAACTGTAGGGCCCTCAAACTAGAACATCAGCTCCTCCCCAAGTCAGCAGCTGCAAGACCCTCAAATTAGCAACTCAGCTCCTCCCGGAGTCTTCAGCTGCATGACCCTCAATCTCGAAGATCAGATACTCTCCGGGTCTTCAGCTGTAGGGCCCTCAAACTATAACATCAGCTCCTCTCCGAGTATTCAGCTGCACGACCCTCAATCTCGAACATCAGCACCTCTTCAGGTCTGCAGCTGTAGGGCCCTCAATCTAGAACATCAGCTCCTCCCTGAGTCTTCTGCTGCACGACCCTCAAACTAGAATCTCAGCTCCTCCCAAGTCTTCAGCTGCACGACCCTCAAACTAGAACCTCAGCTCCTCCCTGAGTCTTCAGCTGCATGACCCTTAATCTAGAACATCAGCTCCTCCCCGAGTCTTCAGCTGCACGACCCTCAATCTAGAACATCAGCTCCTCTCCAGGTCTGCAGCTGCAAGACCTTCAAACTAGAACATCAGCTCCTCTCCAGGTCTGCAGCTGCAAGACCTTCAAACTAGAACATCAGCTCCTCCCCGAGTCTTCACCTGCATGACCCTCAAACTAGAACATCAGCTCCTCTCCAGGTCTCCAGCTGCACGACCCTCAAAGTAGAACATCAGCTCCTCTCCGGGTCTGCAGCTGCAAGATCCTCAAACTAGAACATCAGCTCCTCTCCAGGTCTGCAGCTGCAAGACCCTCAATCTAGAACATCAGCTCCTCTCCAAGTGTGCAGCTGCACGACCCTCAATCTAGAACATCAGCTCCTCTCCAGGTCTGCAGCTGCAAGAACCTCAAACTAGAACATCAGCTCCTCTCCAGGTCTCCAGCTGCACGACCCTCAAACTAGAACATCAGCTCCTCTCCGCGTCTGCAGCTCCACGACCCTCAATCTAGAACATCAGCTCCTCCCCGGGTCTTCAGCTGCACGACCCTCAAACTAGAACATCAGCTCCTCCCTGGGTCTGCAGCTGGAAGATCCACTAACTAGAACATCAACTCCTGTCTAGGTTTCCAGCTCCATGACCCTCAATCAAGATTATCAGCTCCTCTCTGAGTCCCCAGCTGAAAGACCCTCAACGTGAACAACATCAGCTCCTCCCGAAGTCCTCAACTGCATGACCCTCAAACTACAACATCAGCTCCTCCCCGAGTATTCAGCTGCATGACCCTCAATCTAGAACATCAGCTCCTCTCTGACTCTGTAGCTGGAAGATCCACTAACTAGAACATCAGCTCCTGTCTGGGTCTCCAGCTCCATGACCCTTAATCAAGATTATCAGCTCCTCCCTGAGTCCCCAGCTGAAAGACCCTCAACACGAACAACATCAGCTCCTCCCAAAGTCCTCAACTGCATGACCCTCAAACTACAACATCAGCTCCTCCCCGAGTCTTCAGCTGCATGACCCTCTATCTAGAACATCAGCTCCTCCCCGGGTCTGCAGCTGCACGACCCTCAATCTAGAACATCAGCTCCTCCCCGGGTCTGCAGCTGCACGACCCTCAATCTAGAACATCAGCTCCTCCCCGGGTCTGCAGCTGCACGACCCTCAATCTAGAACATCAGCTCCTCCCCGGGTCTGCAGCTGCACGACCCTCAATCTAGAACATCAGCTCCTCCCCGGGTCTGCAGCTGCACGACCCTCAATCTAGAACATCAGCTCCTCCCCGGGTCTGCAGCTGCACGACCCTCAATCTAGAACATCAGCTCCTCCCCGGGTCTGCAGCTGCACGACCCTCAATCTAGAACATCAGCTCCTCCCCGGGTCTGCAGCTGCACGACCCTCAATCTAGAACATCAGCTCCTCCCCGGGTCTGCAGCTGCACGACCCTCAATCTAGAACATCAGCTCCTCCCCGGGTCTGCAGCTGCACGACCCTCAAGGTAGAACATCAGCTCTTCCCCGAGCTAAAACACCTCTCCCACCTGGATCTCCAGCTCCACGAGTCTCACAGAACAGCCACACTGGCTCCTTCATTGTCTTCAGCTCCACAACCTAAGACATCAGTGGGAGCACTGGCTCCTCCCTGGACCTCCAGCTCAACGACTCTCATAGACTTAAAAGGCAGCACCTGCTCCTCCCCAAGGCTCCATCTCCACCACCCTCAGATTTGAACAGCGGTAGCACCACCTCCTCTCCAGGTCTTCAGCCCCATGTCCCTCCCTGAACAATCCCTTCTCATGAAATTCAGCAGTCAAGAAATCTGCAGCGGAAGTAAATGAATAAACGTTTTGTTTTCAAATTGATATCTCTTTTATGTTCATGAATTAACTTTTCTACTTTCCATTAGCCTTGCAATCTACTTATGTCCAAGGTGAAACAGAAACACACCATTTGAAATCACGTTTAAAAACTTAGTAATGTTTTTCAATAAAATCATCACACAGCTGTAGACATGATCTTATTTCTCTCTGCCTGTGCAGAAGTCTTATGAAAATTCAAACTATGAATTTACTTTGTTGAGATTCCCAGAATACACATTAATCCCAACTGTTACTCCCCTCCTTAAAATCTTTTAACACATTCCCATCACCTGAGCATAAATGCCAGCTCCCATCCACAGCCCGAAGTGCCCAGCACGGCCCTGCCCTCTGCCCTGGTCTATGGTCTCCCCTCTTAAATGCCAGCACCATCCACAGCCCACAGTGCCCAGCACGGCCCTGCCCTCTGCCCTGCCCTCTGCTGTGGCCTAAGGTCTCTCCCCGGTGCCGTTCCCTTCCTGACGGACAGGCCTCTGTCCGTTCCTCAAACCACACAGGCTCAGGCCTCACTCCAGGCCTTTGCGCTTCTGTGCCCTCTGCCTAGGGTGCCTTTCCCGGGCTCTGCATCCTCCTCTCAACCCACTGAGCTCCAGCCTGCTGGTCGCCCCTCAGGTGGATGAATACACGGTGTCCTCTCACCCCACCAGCTTTTGCACAGGCTCTTCTCTGTGCCAGACAAACACCCTATCGGGGTTTACTCTCTAAATACCATTCATCCTTGGAGTCTCCACTGAAATATCGCTCCCTGCCCACCCCCCTCACTTGGACTTAACCTTGGTTAGGTTGCCAACCCCCGTCTCCTGACTCCGGGAAGCTAGATGCTCTCCTAGCACTCGGAACTTGCCCATTGCCACATTTGCACACCCGTGGTTACTGGGTTAGGTTGGCGCACAAGTCATCGCGGGTTTTGCCATTACTATTAATGAACGGCAGCAACGGCTCCTCCCCGTTTCTTTTGTTTTTTTTTTCGCCATTACTTTTAATGACTGCTGCACCAACCTATTAGAATCATTTATATTTATCCATCCATCATCTGCCTTCCCCTCTAGAAAGGAAGCTCCATGAGAATAGAGGCCAAATCTACTCAAATCACTCCACCTTCCCAGCACATTGTTTGTCAATAATCATTTACCAACTGACTGATAGAGAAATGCCTTCCCTGTTGCTGGGATGAGGCACATGACACGCCCCTTTGAAAGTCAATTCCATGGACAGTTAGCATTTGCTCTTCACTCCTGCACCCGTGGCGTGGCTGGGCTTAGGCTGATCTAGTCTGGCCTTGACTCCAGGCTAAGGATGGGAACCATGACTGCTCCACACGCCTCTCATCCCACAGCCAGAGCCGCCGTTCCCTGGGGCACGTGCATCTCATGGGGAAAATCAAGAGCCTTAGACGGCAGGCCTGGCAGTGCCCACACATTCCAGGCTTCTGCTTGTGCCGTGTCTGTGAAAATCTCGTTGGCAGAAGCAAGTCACCCAGCCACGAGCAACACCTATGGGACGGATAAGTCCATCCACCCTCCCTCGGGCCCTGGCAAGGTTGTGGCTATGTCATACTCTTACGGGGGGAGTGAAAAATTGAGGCCCAACATTAAATCACCCACGCGAGAAATGTCAGCCTCTGTCCCCACGCTGGAATCATTTTTCACCAGCGGGTTTGCCTGAATTCCCTTTGCAATGGTGTCTGCAGGTTTAGCCCAATGCTGGTCCCCGTGGAGGACACAGAAGCCTCAATGGGCCTCCGTCTGTTGGGAAGAACAAGATATTAGCTTGGCGCAAAACCACCGCAAGCCCCAGGAGGCCCTTGTGCCATGAGACAGGAGAGGGGCAGAGAACTGTGGGAACTCAGGAAAGCTCACATCCCCAGCCCCTCCCGTGCATCCCCAGCCCCTCCGCTGTGACCCCAGCACCAGCCCTCTCCCCTGCTTGCCCCATCTCTGCTTTCTTTTTTTCATTTTCTTTCTTTCCTTGTTTTTGAGACAGGGTTTGGCTCTGTCACTCAGGCTGGAGTGCAATGGCACGATCTCAGCTTACTGCAACCTTCACCTCCTGGGCTGAAGCAATTCTCCCTCCTCAGCCTCCCCAGTGGCTGGGACTACAGGTGCACGCCACCATATCCAGCTAATTTTTTTTTTTTTATTTTGGTAGAGACAGGATTTGCCATGTTGCCCAGGCTGGTCTCAAATTCCTGAGCTCAAGTAATCCTCCCACCTCAGCCTCGCAAAGTGCTGGGATTACAGGCATGAGCCACCGAGTCCAACCTACTTTATTTTTCTCTACAGTACTTGGAACCTTCTAATGTACTAAGGACACGTGTATTTTCTTTCTTTTTTGTCTTCCCTAGAACAGGAGCTTAATGTGGGCAGGTATTTTTGTTGATCTCATTTATCACCCTCTCCCCAGTTCCTGGAACAGGGTCTGGCACATGAATGGTGTGTTCTAAATAAATATTTTTAATAGATAAATAAATGAAATATCCTACAAGAGAAAGCTATATCTGGAACTCACCCATCAACAGAACCTAAAAGCCAAAGACCTTTAGCCTGTCTCTGCCTCTGAACACACCCAACCCCGGAGGAGCCAGCAGAGGAAAAAGAGGAACAAAGGCGGGGAAGGGAGCAGGTGGTGCCCACCAAGCAAGGAACCCTGAGGCTTAGGCCGAACCTGAGCTGGAGAAGGGACTCATCTAGGAACTGGGTATGAGATTAAAGTTTAGATTGGTCTGGCCTGGATTTTGTAACACCTAAACAAGAGTTATTCTATTCTTTTTTTGTTTTTTTTTTTTGAGATGGAGTCTCACTGTCCCCCAGGCTGGACTGTAGTGGCGCTATCTCAGCTCACTGCAACCTCTGCCTCCCAGGTTCAAGTGATTCTCATGCCTCAGCCTCCCGAGTAGCTGGGATTACAGGCGCACACCACCATTCCCGGCTAATTTTGTATTTTTAGTAGAGATAGAGTTTCACCATGTTGGCCCCCGGCTCACGCCTGTAATCCCAGCACTTTGGGAGGCCGAGGTGGGTGGATCATGAGGTCAGGAGATTGAGACCATCCTGGCTAACACGGTGAAACCCCATCTCTATTAAAAATACAAAAAATTAGCTGGGCGTGGTGGCAGGTGCCTGTAGTCCCAGCTACTCAGGAGGCTGAGGCAGGAGAATTGCTTGAACTCCAGATGCAGAGGTTGCAGTGAGCCAAGATCAATGCCACTGCACTCCAGCCTGGGTGACAGGGCAAGCCTTCATCTCAAAAACAAACAAACAAACAAACAAAAAACCTTCAAACGAATGTAAGAATTATTATTTTTTAAAGTACAACTTTAAAAATGCCCCTTACAAATACATCAGTGTTATATTAAGGGAAACCCACTTCAGAAGCACAAAGTTAATTTCTTATAATTCCAAGAAATATGTGAATGTTAAAAAAAACCCAAACACCCGAAAAGGGATCAATCTCAAGATAGTTTGTAACATTTTATTGCAAAAAGAAGGGCAGAGAACAGTCTTCTTCATACCTGTTCACCGTAATAATTTTTAGCAGCTCTCCTGTGCAAAGAAGTCTCATCAATCAATCAGCATACGGGCCACAAATACCTTCTCAGTGCGGTTTCACCTACAATACAAGCACTCAGAAGCACAAATTTAACTGAAGTGAGAAACCAGGCCATTTTGTAGCTTCAGTTTTTCTACCAGTAATATATTAATTTCTTGAAATAGCCTAATAATTTAGTTCTACTATCAAAACAGAAGCCCAATCTGGGAGAACAATTATTATACAAGTCAAACTAATTTCAATCATATTAGTATAGGAATTCATATTAGTATAGGCTAATAATTCATATTAGTAGAGGCGGGAGGATCGCTTGAGCCTAGGAGTTTGAGACCAGCCTGGGCAAGACAGTGAGACTCCATCTCTAATTTTTTTTTTAAATAAAGAAACTCAGAGAGGAGAAGGAAGCGGATTGATATGTGTCTATCCAAGCACAAATTTTGTGTGCCTGTACATACAACACGACTATGAACCTTCCTTCACGCAGCTCACAATCTAGTAGCGAGAGAAAAGTACGAAAACATGAGCCCCCACGATGAGGAAAAAGGCGCATATCAGAGAAAAGAAAAATGCTGCGATGATCCAATGGCAGGAGCAGCGCGCATCCACTTTCTTTGTTTTTTTGAGATGGGGTTTCGCTCTGTCTCCCAGGCTGGAGTGCCGTGGCTTGATCTCAGCTCAATGCAGCCTCAACCTCCCAGGCTCAAGTGATCTTCCCATCTCAGCCTCCCAAGTAGCTGGAACTACAGGCGTGCACCACTACACGTTTACTTTTTGTAGAAACAGGGTCTCACAATGTTGCCAAGGCTGGCATCCTGAAGGGCGGGTGGGGCTTCATCCTACAGAGATGAAAGGCAGAAGAAGCTCAGAGCCCAAAGCAAAGGGGTGGAGGACAAGGGCATCTTCAGAACAGAGTGGCTCAGCTGAGACATCCAGTAGGATGCCACCAGGCAGAGGTGTGGTGGAAAAACACAGGGCCACAGGGTGAATGCTCACATGTGAGGAGCAAACCACCACAGAACACAACAGAAACACGGTGTACTAAATCAGGCTTCAAATCGCAGCCCTGCAACTTCAGAGCTACCACAGGTAACCCAGAAAGGGAGCACGGACAGCACCGCCCACTGCCTGAGGCTATGAGATGGACCAGAAACCTGTGCTTACTAACAACCTGCCTTATTCCAGAAGGAATTCAGGAAACACAAAGACACTCACAGTACAGCAAAATAAAGTAAATGTGAATCATGTTGGCTGAGGAGAAAGTGAAGAGTCTAAGACTATGTCATAAAGTTTACCTCTACTCTAAACTCTCATTACTGGTGAGCCACCAATCTGACTTTAAGTTTTCTAGCAGCTAAATTGAAGAGGAAAATGTAATCAGGTAAAGGTTTATAAGATGCAAACAAAACAGGACAGCCACCACAGTTTCTGAGAAGACGCGCAGCTCCAGCTCCAGGAGAAACAGGGTGGCCATCTCCTGGGGCTGCCCCGCAGCAGGTGTGTCAGCCCCAAAGCCAGCGTCTCTCAGGGTGAACGGTGACTATGGGCTTCATGGGGCCACACACCTCCAGTACAAGCTGAGGAAATCTCCCAGGGCAATTCAAGGAACAGGGTCTCACAATGTTGTCCAGGCTGGTCTCAAACGATCCCCCTGCCTCGGCCTCCCAAAGTGTTGGGAGGTCAGACGTGAGCCACTGCATCTGGCCCCGCATGCACTTTATAGAGGAGGGCTTTGCATCCTGAAGGGCGAGTGGGGCTTCATCCTGCAGAGATGAAAGGCAGAGGAAGCTCAGAGCCCAAGGTAAAGGGGGGCGCCTAACAAAAGCGACTCCATTGGGACCACGGTGAGAGGGTCCCCATACACAGCTTGGGTTAAGCCAGACACTGATTTCAAAGTATCTCAGGAATGGTGGACTCAGCACCTGTCAGGCAATTCTCTCTCTCAAGCAGGCTCCTGGTAGATATTTAGTAGCAGCTGAAATCAAGATTATGTTCTGACTGACACTTGCTGAGGGTTAAAGAGCTATATACGCTTTGAGGACCAGCTGAACTGGGGCAGGACTAACACCCTCTGGTGAAAATACGGGAACCCAAACACACGAGTCAGAGCAGGAGGTGTCTCCCCCACCTCCAAACAATAACGCTGACCTTGGATTTGGGTTAAGTGCCTAGCCCAGGGGTGTGAGTGTTCAGGAAGTGGAAACCATCATCACCATCATCAGGTAATGGAAAACCATCAAAGCTTTGAGCTGGCTTGTTAGCCAAGAATAGTAGTAGTGTATTAGCTACTACTAATACTCACAGCTGACAATTACTGAGCACTTGCTCCGTGCCAGGAATCACGGAGGCACCTCGCATGCATTTCCTCAATACTCCCTCCCAGTAACGGCGAGGACACAAAACTGGTAGAGCCAGGACTGGAATCCAGGCAGGCCCCAAGGCACTCCAGTGGAGCCTGCCAAGGAGGGCAGGCTACCATGCTAATGAGGTCCAGTATTTGACCACCACTCCTAGTTGAGCAAATTAACAGAAAACCTAAAACTAAACTTAAAATCTAAAAATTTGAGCAAATGCATAAAAAGCAGCTGTTAAAATGGATCATAAATCTTGCATCACTCGCTGGAAAACCACTCAAAATAAACGTCTCTGAGACATGGCCTCTGAGGAGGGCACTCCGTGTGGCTCGTATCACCCTGGTGACAAACCACGTGAACCTGGGTGGTCACCTGACCATATTGAACAGACGATGCACAGAGCCATTTGCATCCACTGTGGTCAACATTTAGGAAGTTTTAAGCTAAGATTTGCCAAATTGTAGCCTACTGGATTCCGGGTTCTCTTGACATCTCTTTCTAGTCGCCATGTCTTGCACTTCCCGAGTATAAATAAACTGAGATGCAAATAAAAAAAGGAGGATTTAAGAATAATGAAAAGAGAAAAATCAAGAAAGCACAATCACTAGTGTAGAGATAACAGAATTTCTGAATTCCCTGAAAACAATCTATATAAATGCATGTGAAATAATACACCAGCATCTGTGGCCCATACGTCACATATTAGGAACTGATAACATAAGGTAAACATGTTACTCTGAAAACACAAATCCTCACAAATCATTAGGCAGTAAGACTGAATCCAGCACCTCCCCCCCCACCACCCACAGCGCAGTGAGGCAGTGTCTAGCAGCCGTAGTGCTCCCCGCGCCCCAGTTCAGTCTCTGGCAACATCAGATACTTCCCACTAATAACGAGGAGCCTTTCAACATTTTCACAACATCTCAAAACTGACCCCTTTTCTAGCTTAAATGGCACGGATCTGGAAAGGCAAACTATACACAGAATCAGAAAAGATGACTGCCCCTGAGGGATTACAGAAAAAGCAGCAGTCAGGTGTTCAATGAAGTAAAATGTATCCAATGATAGCTCAGGGGAGGGGGATCAATTGAGCTGAAACTGGCAAGAACGTAACTCCAGGGAGCTCACAACACGCCAAGGACCCAGATTTCCCGCTGCCTGAACGCCCAATATTCGCACACTGATAAGAACGCCTCCCCATAACTCCCCTGCCAGCGCCTCCAACACCCCCAATCCTTTCCCCAGGAACCCAGTCCCAGTTTCTGCAGTTCCTGTAACAGCCACGTTCCCACACAAGTGCTGCCTGAGCTCCCCAAGCCCTCCAACAATCACCCCCCAGTGCCCTCGAAGGTCTATTCAGAGAAGTCACCAAGATGCAGTCACCCAGGAAATTCAAGGACCCCCAACTTACCAAAAGGCTTTCGGCTGGACAGAGCTAACCTTCCTATTCCCCTCCTAAACCTACAACCTAGTTTTCATTTCTCAAGAAGCCTTTCCCTGCGCTCACGCACGCCGTTGTTAGCTGGCTCGGTGAGGCACTCCAAGCAGTAACAGCGGTAGCCACAAAATAAACCAGAAGCATCTCCACCATGAAGCAGTAATAATTTGTCCTAATGATTCCTTTGTCCTTGGAAAATCAACTTCAGAAAGAAAGTTATCCACTGTGAGCAGGGCAGGCTCGCGGCTTCTTGGTCCGGAGACCCAGGTCCCACTGGCCCACTCACCCTTGGAGAGAGCTTGCTGAAGCTGGGTGTCCGATATCACTCCACTCCTCTCTATCAACCCTATAACATCAAGAAGACCAAACAAGCTGGCGATCGAAAGTTCAGGAAAAGCAAAACAAACGTCTCCTGTCAACCCTGCACCGACTCTGGAAGGCTCCCTCCTGGAACCTCCGCCTCTCCGGTCCCGCTGAGGAGTACAGCGGAATCAAGGAAGTGCCCCAGGAGCCACGTCCAAGTGTGTTCTTCCCCTAAGAGGACAATCATCTTTCTCT
Organism: Homo sapiens; assembly: GCF_000001405.40. Classification (NCBI taxonomy): domain Eukaryota; kingdom Metazoa; phylum Chordata; class Mammalia; order Primates; family Hominidae; genus Homo; species Homo sapiens. The sequence continues at coordinate 160,023 of NT_187678.1, forward strand.
CTCTTTTCCCACCTCAATCCTTCCCTTCCTTCCCCTCCTGACCTGTCTGAATTCCCATTTGCACCAGTTTCCCTTTTTCACAGACAAGACAAGATTCCCTCAGATAACTAAGCCATTCCCTGGCCATGAGTTACTACAGTTTCGGTCATTCATTCAGTGGAAAAGCGACCAGGGACAGAAGGCGCCGCCATAAAGGTCACCTGGCCCGAGCAGACGCCAGGTCGCTGCTTCTTCCTTGGCTGCTGACATTTTAACAGCGGCCCAGACAGTCTGTTTCCGCTTTCCCCAAACAAGCACCCTGGAGACCCTCCCCCGACGGCTCGAGGCGAGAAACGGGGCCTGGCCCAGGAGCCGGTGGCCGCGACCTCGGGTCTGCAGTGGCGCCCTCTGCACCTTGGGAAGCGCCCGACGCACAGGACAGGGACCGGGCAGGAGGCAGGGGCGGCCCCAGGAGACCGGGCAGCGGACGGGGGAGACCGCGGGGGACCCGGAAGGGGATGGGGGCGGCCGCGGGGGTCGGGGCAGGGGATGGGGGCGGCCGCGTCGGTCGGGGTAGGGTTCGGGGGCGCCCGCGGGGGTCCGGGCAGGGGCGGGGGAGACGGCGGAGGTCGGGGCAGGGGACGGGGGAGGCCGCTGGGGACCCGGCAGGTGACGGGGGAGGCCGCGGGGCAACCGGCAGGGAACGGGGTTGGCCGCGGGGGTCGGGACACGGGTCCGGGGCAGCTGCGGGGGAGGCGGGAGGTGCCGGGGCGGTGCCAGGTGGCAGCTCTGGAAGACGTTCCACAGGAAGCTCTGGTCGGGCAGCGCCGCGCCCGCAGCAGGCCCAGGGCCGCCCAAGGCCGGGGCGGTAGGAGTAGGCGGCCAAGGGCCAAGGCGCGCGGCTGGGCTGAGGCACCTGCGGCCACGGGCGACCTCAGAGCGACTGTGCTTCCGCCTCTGCCGGGGGCAGGGCCAGGCGTTACCGCCGCTTCCGGGGGCGCAGGAAATGCGCGTTGTCCGGGATCCTCCGGCGCAGGCCACCTGCGCGCGGGGCCGGGAAGGCGCTTGGAGGAAATGTCCCGCGCCGCGACCCGGGACAGGCAGTGATGGAGCAGGGATTTCGTTTGCCTTTTAGTTCTTGTATAAAAAGAAGTTTTGACGTGAATATGATTCACGCTAACAGTCGGAAACTCTGGGCGGGGCGCGGTAGCTCACACCTGGGATCCCTGCGCTTTGTGAGGCGGAGGCGGGCGGAGCTCTTGAGCCCAGCAGTGCGGACCAGCCTGGGCAGCGGGGCTAGACCCCATCCCTACAAAAATTACAGCAAGTAGTCGGGCGTGGTGGGCTCCTGTGGTCCCATGTACTCCGTGGGCTGAGGCGGGAGGATCGCCTGAGCCCGGGAGGTCGAGGCCGCAGGGAGCCGAGATCACTGCAGCTCCAGCCCGGTGGACAGCGAGACTCTGCAAAAAAAAAAAAAAAAAAAGCAAGCAGGCCGGGTGCGGTGGCTGACGCGTGTAATCCCAGCACTTTGGGAGGCCGAGGCCGGTGGATCACCTGAAGTCAGGAGTTCGAGACCAACCTGGCCAATATGGAGAAACCCAGTATCTACTAAAAATACAAAATTAGCCGGGCGTGGTGGCGCACGCCTGTAATCCCAGCTACTCGGGACGCTGAGGCAGGAGAATTGCTTGAACCCGGGAGGCGGAGGTTGCAGTGAGCCGAGATCAGGCCATTGCACTCCAGGCCTGGGCAACAAGAGCAAAACTCCGTCTCAAAAAAAAAAAAAAAAAAAAAAAAGGCAAAGCACAATTCGCGTGGGAAGGGCAGTGTGCAGCGTTCTCCGTTGTCTGTTCCGCCCCCAAAAGCTTCCCTCCTTTAGGTTTAACCTGCGCCCCCGCGCTCTGCATCAGCGCGGTCCCCGACCGGTGCAGCTGGAAACACTGGGCGCCTCCCTGCCGGGCCCCTTCCCGCCCCTGTGGTGGTGCAGCCCTGCCTCCCGCAAGACAGCACTGCCTTCGTGCTGGACACAGTTCTATGGTGGAGCCTGGAGTGCCTGTATCACAAATCCCGGAGTTGGGAAGTGCCCACCTTTGGGCCAGTGTGATCCCTGGGTCTTTCCCGGGGTGGTCTCATGCGGCCTTCCACTCCAGTCCTGTGTCCTGTGCCCCGGTTCAGAATACTACAATTATTCTCGTTATTTCATGGGGTTATTCCAGCTTTTCAGTTTCGTCAGTGCCTCATTCCATGAATGCTAACTTTTTTCATCCTCATAGTTCCTAGGGTTGTCTCTGAATTTTCACCCAGTTGCCTACCAAGATGTTGTCTGTGTCTAATGCAGGGGATGGTGCAGGTCTGAATATCTTACTCACAGCTCACCTTTTTGGTGCCTTTGATCCGTGTTAGGAATTATCCACATCTTCTCTCTGGGCAGTATTCTACTTTCTTTTTATATTGACCCAATTATTTTACTTCTTTGGTGTGTCCTTTCTCCTAACACATACGGGTTCACTTTGAAACCTTGAAACCCACATTTACAAAAACATTTTCAATATGAAACATTGTTCCATGACTCATTACTGGAGTACCATCAACATTTACATTTCCAGACCACCCACTGCCCAGTGGTTTTCTTGGTCTCAGTACTCATGAAAACGGTCTGAAGGTTTGTTTTGGGTTCCTAAGTAGTAGACACACGCACAACACTGCCTGTCAGTTATTTCTTGGAAACTAAATCAGCCCTTCTGTTGCCATCCTATCATGCTTCAGGGGTGCCTGTGCTAGTTTTTAATTCTTTGTTCTAACACTTAAATGTTTGCTCAAACGCCCATATTAATACTTCCTCTTAGTTTACAAAAGGATTTACTTTCTTACTGGTTGGGATGAAGCTGCCTGAGGTTGCCACCTGTTATTTTTCCTTCATTTATTGGACCATGTCATCCCATTACATGTCAGCCGTGGAGGTTTTCAAACTGTGGTCCCTGGACATGTTAAAAATGCAAATTCTCAGGCCGAACCAGGACTGAATTGGAAGATCTGGGGTAGGGTCCCCCCAGGACTGAATCAGAAGATCTGGGAGGGTCTGGTGCTGTGCACCCCGACATTCCCTCACTACCCCACTGCCTCTCCCTGCCCTGTGGTCACCACAGCAGCCGCCTCTGCAACCTTGACTATCAGCATGCAGGTCCCAGGACTCGGGGGTCTCCTAACCCGTGCACCCCGACATCCCCCTCACTACCCCACCGCCTCTCCCTGGCTCTGCCTCTGCGTGGCTCCTCTCCTGCTGCCCCCAGAAGGTTTTTGTAAAGCCCGACTCAGGGCGTGCATGGCCTCTCCCTCTCCCACACATGGGCTCCCCGTCCCCTCCAGCTCAGCAAACACACAGCACATCCAGGAGCCACGTGGGACCGCAGTGTCCCATGGCCGGTCCCCCAGATCCCTTGGATGTCTCACTCTGGTGAGCCCCTCGCTCCAGTGCCCTCCAGGAAGCCCCCGTCTCCCCATACAGAAGGGATCTCTTCCCTCCTGAGCCATCGGTGCCCGACCCTCCCTCTCCTCTGTCGCCCCATTTGTGGCAGGTCAGCCACACCCGTGAGCCCCGGAGCTCTGTGAAGGCCGTCACGGCTCCTTATGACGGCGCCCAAACAGTGCAGGCAGCCGGAAGCTGTTCCCTGATGAAAGAAAGGAAGAGGAAAGGAGGAGGGAGGGAAGAAGGCCTTTTCTTGTCCCGAGAGACTTCTGTAGGAATTTTTGGGTGATACTGAGCATGGTAGACCCAGGTCATCTTTCCACGAGAGGGGCCAGAGTACCGCAGGCTCAGCCGCGGTCAGGGGCTCAGGGCGCCGGGGAAGCATTCGCGTGGGCTGCCCCCACGGGCCGCCTTTGCCACCAAGACCCACTCTTCCAGCCAGGCCTTGGGCCGGCCCTGCTTTCCCTTCGGACAAGGTCTTCAGTCCACCGAGAGGATGGCCCACCTCCTGCCCCTGGGTCAGTGCGCAGCCCCAGGGAGGAGCTGTGTGAACCTGGGAGGTGCTGGGGAGCAAGGGTGCTCCACCAAGGGAGGCAGGAGGCCGGAGACCAGCCCGGCCCAGGAGGAGCCTGGCCAGGAGTCCCACCAAAGCCACTGGACCCGGGGAGCCTCCAGTGACCCAGCCTTGTAGGGTCAGCACTGTCCCTAGGACAGAGTCTGCTTCGTACACAGGTCTCGCTGTCTGTGGAGGCTTCAGGCCCCGATGCCTGGGCACACGGACTGACGGCAACCCTCGGGGTGGGAGGCCCCAGATGGGACTTCCTGGCCTGCCCGGGGTGGCGGGGGGGCGGGTGGGAGAGGACGGAGCGTCTGTGTGCATGTGTGAGAGCCTCAAGGACGGCATGTCTGTGAAGATGGCTTCACCCAGCCGCGGCTGCCTTCCGTGTGTGGGCAGCGGTGACGGAGCCGTGACCTCACGGGACAGCCTTTGCCGTGTGGTTTTCCCGCCTCTGGTCCCTTTCCTGGGCTGAGGATCCTGGCTCTGGGGCTCAAGGTGTGGGGTTCGCCAGCACCGGCTCCTGCCATAGACATCCTGGTGGCCCTGGCACAGGCCTGTCCTCCAGCATGGTTCCTAGACCCACCACGCAGGACTCCTAGGCCCCTGAGGGTTGGCAGGAGTGAGGCAGGCAGTCACCAACTGCCCTTGGGTGAGGCTGGTGGCCAGGGGGGGACCCAGCAGGTGCAAGCCAGGCCATCCCCAGCAGCCGCCGGAGCCCATGTCTTTCCCACCGCACAGCACAGCCAGGACATGGGGGTCAGGCCATTACTTACGCTTCTAGTCCTTACATCACCCACAACTTACCCCTGACCTGTGCCTGGCTGTGGTGCCCGCAGCCTGGGCTCCACATAAACACAGGCCAAGAAGTCCCATCTGCAGCCTCCCACCGCAAAGGTTTCCGGCAGTCCGGGCTCCCCAGGCACCGGCTCTGCAGCCCCCACAGACAGAGAGACCCCTGTGTGAAGTCCGGGCTCCTCAGGCACTGGCCCTGCAGCCCCCACAGACAGAGAGACCTGTGTGTGAAGAATCCGTTTGAGGGACAGTGCTGACCCTCCAGGGCTGGGTCACGGAGGCTCCAGTGGCTTTGGTGGGACTCCTGGCCAGGCTCCTCCTGGACTGGGCCTGGGCTGGTCTCCGGCCTCCTGCCTCCCTTGGTGCAGGATCCTTGCTCCCCAGCTTCCCTGGGAAATCCGACGCCTTCTGATCCTGCATGCATCCGGCACCCCTGACGCTGGCGGAGTTGCCTTTCTGCGTGTATAGCTCCTAACAGGGCAGCACAGCTGTTCTGAAACCTCACACATCATCACTGGGGTGGCTGAGGCTGGGCCACCTGGTGTTCACCTCCTGACCCTGGAACTGTGCAGAGAACCTCTCTTCAAATAGGAGGCAGGTCTTTGTGGCTGTGTTTAAGTTAAAGATCTTGAGATAAGGAGGTCATTCTGGATTAACTCGTTGGCCCTACATGCACGGCAAGTGTCCTTACACAGAGGCAGAGGGAGGTTAGACGCAGACAGAGGAGGAGGTCGCCTGGAGACCGAGGCAGAGGTGCAGCATTGTGGCCGCGGCCCAGGGACGCCTGGAGCCACAGAAGCTGGTGGAGGTGGCAGGGTCCTCCCCTGGAGCCTCTGGAGGGAGCACGGCCCATGGACTCGATTTCAGACCCCTCCCTGCTGAGCGGGGAGAGAATGAGTCCCTGTTGTTTTGAGCTGCCGAGACTGTGGGGATCTGCCATGGCAGCTCCAGGACCCTCAGACCTTCGGCTCAGAGCCCCTCTAGCACTGAGCAAGACGACCACTCAGGGCCGCCCCTCCCCGCCCAGCCAGCATGTGCCTCGCTGCTCACCCGACCACGCAGCCCTCAGTTACAGATGCCTGCCCGGGATACGTGGGACGAGGGCTGCGGCTTCCCTGGGGACGGGGTGCGTGGAGCCTGCCTGCAGCCGTGTTCCTGTTTACGTGCTGAGTGAAGCTGGACCTGGGTGGGATGGGGCATTCTGCCCAAGGGTCTCTTGGGGGGTCCATGAGGACTGTGTTCTGACGATACTGCCCTCCTTCCTGAGGCTGCCGTGGGGCTCCATGGAGGCCATGGGGTGGTGAGGATGGAAGAACACCTAGGCTGGGCTCCTGGGACCCCAGCAGCAGCTGAAGGCACTTGGAGCACCACAATTCCCACCCACGGGCCAGGCAAGCCCAGAACCGTCCCCAAAGAAGGGAGCAAGGAGACACGGCCTTTTAGTGATAATATCATAACCAAAAAGTTCTTTAACATTTTTTCATTTTTTTCTGTCACTCAATATTTTTAAAATTATATGTCCATTTTTTTTATTATTTCACCCATCTAATCATTGCCATCTATACCAAACAAAAAAATCTATGCACCGGTGTTCACAAAGCATTTAAGATGCCTGTGAAATGTAATAAGAACTAACTGCAGCTGCACAATATTCCCTCGTATGTATGTTATCACCATGCTGACGCTGGGCACTCAGAGCATTTAAAGGTTTTTATTATAATG